>NW_018654708.1:0-165015 GCF_000001405.40 Homo sapiens | reverse complement strand
GCTGGGCCTACAGGCGCCCGCCACCACGCCCGGCTACTTTGTTCTATTTTTCCTAGAGACGGGCTTTCACCCTGTTAGCCGGGATGGTCTGGAGCTCCTGACCTCGTGATCCACCCGCCTCGGCCTCCCAGAGTGCTGGGATTACAGGCGCGAGCCACCGCGCCCGCCCGGCCTGCTGTAGGCTTTTGTGGCTTCCCCGCTGCCTCCCTTCCCCCCACAGTCGCCATGCTTCCCAACCTCCCCTGACTCTGCTCCCCTTTACCGCCCACCTACACCCCCGCCGCAGCCGCAGCCGGGGTCCTCCTGCTGGGGGTCCGCCCCTACTGCACGCCGGCCGGGCAGCAGCATCCCACCGCTTCCGCCTCGCCGCCGCCCCGCCAGGAGCCCGGCTCCAGCCTGGGAGGGCAGGGGGCCGGACCCCAAAGGCGCAGCCGCTGGGTTCCCTGCCGTTCGCGGTGCCTTCCCGCTCCCGGAACGCCCAGGCGATTCAATTCACCCATCGGGCGCCGTCGTCGCACCCTTCCAAACCGGGGGAAGGGGCGGGCAGGGGCAGCGGGTGCCACAGACGCCAGCCAAGACGTCGGCTCCGGAACGCATGGGCTGCTTTACCCGGGGGAAGGACATTGCTTCGCCAGCCACCGGGAAAACAGGCCCTGTGCACCCGGGATTCCCAATGCCCCCCGCTTCGTGTCGACGACTCCAGTCCCGAGGACTCGCCAGAGACCCAGGCCTCCGGGCCCGCCCGGTGCCACGGCTCCCGCCAAACGGGCGGGCGCGCTCTGCAAATCTCGGGGCCCGCCGCAAGGCACCCAGAGCACAGGGAGGTGCCAAGAAAGGCAGGAGCCTACGAAACCCACCTCCAAAGCAAGCAATTCATCCAAGAAAACGCCCGCCTCAGCGCTCCGTTGGTCCTCTCGCACGGACCGCCTGGCCCCCGTGTTCTGGGCGCAGCCCAAGCCCCCTCCACCCTATCCCGGCCTGCTCAAGAGGGCGCTGCCTAACGGAGCCGGGCGCTTCCTCTCTAAGGCTCTATCGCTCTCGCTCTCTAGCTCCCTCCGCCTCTCTCTTCTGGGTTTCCCCCTGGACCTCGCGCTACTTCTGTCGTTTTCCCTCTGTCTCTCTGTCTCTCTCTCTCTCTTTCTCTGTGCCTCTCTCTTTCTCAGCCTCTCTGTCTGTCTCCTTCCCTCTCGCCCTCCCCTGTCTCTCTCGATCGCTGTCTCTCTCCCTCCCTCGGTTTCTATCTCTCCATCCATCTCGTCCTTGCTCTCCTTCAAGCCGCGTGTGTGTGTGCGTGCGTGTGCGCGTGCGTGTGTGCGTGTGTGTCTGTGTGTGTGTGTGTGTGCGTGTGTGTCCGCGCGCGCGCGTGCGAGCGCGCCCGGGTGTGTCTGTGTGTGGGGGAGTGGATTTGCTCCTGGTGGCGGTGGGGTGTGTCTGGGTTTCTCTCAGGCCCTCTCACCCGAGATCAGGCCGCCGCCTCTAGTGCCAGCCCGGGGCAAAACAGGGCCACCCCCCGACCCGCTACACCCCACGCCCTCTTGCCCCCCCGGCCGGGTCTTGGTCGGGACAAGCGACCGTGGTGGGGGCGTTGTGAGAGAAAGGCCCCGCGCGGCTGGGCCGGCTGTTCGCCTTCGGCCAGCCCTGACGGCTCTGGGTGGGTGGGGCAAGAGGGGGCCTCGCAGGAGCCCCTGTGCGGCGAGGGATCCAAAACGCTGCCTCCGCGACAGGGCGGAGGACCGGAGGGCGTCCCAGGATCGTGGGCCCTGGGCCCTGACGCCTCGGAGCACTCCCTGCTCCGAGCGGGCCCGATGTGGTGGAAGCTCGGGAGCGCGGGAGCCGGGGGAAGGCCGGGCCAGCGGCTCGGGGGTCCCCGATCCGAGCCCCGCGGCCCCGGGCTGGCGGTGTCGGCTGCAATCCGGCGGGCACGGCCGGGCCGGGCTGGGCTCTTGGGGCAGCCAGGCGCCTCCTTCAGCGTCTACGGCCATACCACCCTGAACGCGCCCGATCTCGTCTGATCTCGGAAGCTAAGCAGGGTCGGGCCTGGTTAGTACTTGGATGGGAGACCGCCTGGGAATACCGGGTGCTGTAGGCTTTTTCTTTGGCTTTTTGCTGTTTCTTTCCTTTTCTTCCAGACGGAGTCTCGCCCTGTCGCCCAGGCTGGAGTGCAGTGGCGCCATCTCGGCTCACTGCAAGCTCCGCCTCCCGGGTTCACGCCATTCCCCGGCCTCAGCCTCCCGAGTAGCTGGGCCTACAGGCGCCCGCCACCACGCCCGGCTACTTTGTTCTATTTTTCCTAGAGACGGGCTTTCACCCTGTTAGCCGGGATGGTCTGGAGCTCCTGACCTCGTGATCCACCCGCCTCGGCCTCCCAGAGTGCTGGGATTACAGGCGCGAGCCACCGCGCCCGCCCGGCCTGCTGTAGGCTTTTGTGGCTTCCCCGCTGCCTCCCTTCCCCCCACAGTCGCCATGCTTCCCAACCTCCCCTGACTCTGCTCCCCCTTTACCGCCCACCTACACCCCCGCCGCAGCCGCAGCCGGGGTCCTCCTGCTGGGGGTCCGCCCCTACTGCACGCCGGCCGGGCAGCAGCATCCCACCGCTTCCGCCTCGCCGCCGCCCCGCCAGGAGCCCGGCTCCAGCCTGGGAGGGCAGGGGGCCGGACCCCAAAGGCGCAGCCGCTGGGTTCCCTGCCGTTCGCGGTGCCTTCCCGCTCCCGGAACGCCCAGGCGATTCAATTCACCCATCGGGCGCCGTCGTCGCACCCTTCCAAACCGGGGGAAGGGGCGGGCAGGGGCAGCGGGTGCCACAGACGCCAGCCAAGACGTCGGCTCCGGAACGCATGGGCTGCTTTACCCGGGGAAGGACATTGCTTCGCCAGCCACCGGGAAAACAGGCCCTGTGCACCCGGGATTCCCAATGCCCCCCGCTTCGTGTCGACGACTCCAGTCCCGAGGACTCGCCAGAGACCCAGGCCTCCGGGCCCGCCCGGTGCCACGGCTCCCGCCAAACGGGCGGGCGCGCTCTGCAAATCTCGGGGCCCGCCGCAAGGCACCCAGAGCACAGGGAGGTGCCAAGAAAGGCAGGAGCCTACGAAACCCACCTCCAAAGCAAGCAATTCATCCAAGAAAACGCCCGCCTCAGCGCTCCGTTGGTCCTCTCGCACGGACCGCCTGGCCCCCGTGTTCTGGGCGCAGCCCAAGCCCCCTCCACCCTATCCCGGCCTGCTCAAGAGGGCGCTGCCTAACGGAGCCGGGCGCTTCCTCTCTAAGGCTCTATCGCTCTCGCTCTCTAGCTCCCTCCGCCTCTCTCTTCTGGGTTTCCCCCTGGACCTCGCGCTACTTCTGTCGTTTTCCCTCTGTCTCTCTGTCTCTCTCTCTCTCTCTTCTCTGTGCCTCTCTCTTTCTCAGCCTCTCTGTCTGTCTCCTTCCCTCTCGCCCTCCCCTGTCTCTCTCGATCGCTGTCTCTCTCCCTCCCTCGGTTTCTATCTCTCCATCCATCTCGTCCTTGCTCTCCTTCAAGCCGCGTGTGTGTGTGCGTGCGTGTGCGCGTGCGTGTGTGCGTGTGTGTCTCTGTGTGTGTGTGTGCGTGTGTGTCCGCGCGCGCGCGTGCGAGCGCGCCCGGGTGTCTGTGTGTGGGGGAGTGGATTTGCTCCTGGTGGCGGTGGGGTGTGTCTGGGTTTCTCTCAGGCCCTCTCACCCGAGATCAGGCCGCCGCCTCTAGTGCCAGCCCGGGGCAAAACAGGGCCACCCCCCGACCCGCTACACCCCACGCCCTCTTGCCCCCCCGGCCGGGTCTTGGTCGGGACAAGCGACCGTGGTGGGGGCGTTGTGAGAGAAAGGCCCCGCGCGGCTGGGCCGGCTGTTCGCCTTCGGCCAGCCCTGACGGCTCTGGGTGGGTGGGGCAAGAGGGGGCCTCGCAGGAGCCCCTGTGCGGCGAGGGATCCAAAACGCTGCCTCCGCGACAGGGCGGAGGACCGGAGGGCGTCCCAGGATCGTGGGCCCTGGGCCCTGACGCCTCGGAGCACTCCCTGCTCCGAGCGGGCCCGATGTGGTGGAAGCTCGGGAGCGCGGGAGCCGGGGGAAGGCCGCGGGCCAGCGGCTCGGGGGTCCCCGATCCGAGCCCCGCGGCCCCGGGCTGGCGGTGTCGGCTGCAATCCGGCGGGCACGGCCGGGCCGGGCTGGGCTCTTGGGGCAGCCAGGCGCCTCCTTCAGCGTCTACGGCCATACCACCCTGAACGCGCCCGATCTCGTCTGATCTCGGAAGCTAAGCAGGGTCGGGCCTGGTTAGTACTTGGATGGGAGACCGCCTGGGAATACCGGGTGCTGTAGGCTTTTTCTTTGGCTTTTTGCTGTTTCTTTCCTTTTCTTCCAGACGGAGTCTCGCCCTGTCGCCCAGGCTGGAGTGCAGTGGCGCCATCTCGGCTCACTGCAAGCTCCGCCTCCCGGGTTCACGCCATTCCCCGGCCTCAGCCTCCCGAGTAGCTGGGCCTACAGGCGCCCGCCACCACGCCCGGCTACTTTGTTCTATTTTTCCTAGAGACGGGCTTTCACCCTGTTAGCCGGGATGGTCTGGAGCTCCTGACCTCGTGATCCACCCGCCTCGGCCTCCCAGAGTGCTGGGATTACAGGCGCGAGCCACCGCGCCCGCCCGGCCTGCTGTAGGCTTTTGTGGCTTCCCCGCTGCCTCCCTTCCCCCCACAGTCGCCATGCTTCCCAACCTCCCCTGACTCTGCTCCCCTTTACCGCCCACCTACACCCCCGCCGCAGCCGCAGCCGGGGTCCTCCTGCTGGGGGTCCGCCCCTACTGCACGCCGGCCGGGCAGCAGCATCCCACCGCTTCCGCCTCGCCGCCGCCCCGCCAGGAGCCCGGCTCCAGCCTGGGAGGGCAGGGGGCCGGACCCCAAAGGCGCAGCCGCTGGGTTCCCTGCCGTTCGCGGTGCCTTCCCGCTCCCGGAACGCCCAGGCGATTCAATTCACCCATCGGGCGCCGTCGTCGCACCCTTCCAAACCGGGGGAAGGGGCGGGCAGGGGCAGCGGGTGCCACAGACGCCAGCCAAGACGTCGGCTCCGGAACGCATGGGCTGCTTTACCCGGGGGAAGGACATTGCTTCGCCAGCCACCGGGAAAACAGGCCCTGTGCACCCGGGATTCCCAATGCCCCCCGCTTCGTGTCGACGACTCCAGTCCCGAGGACTCGCCAGAGACCCAGGCCTCCGGGCCCGCCCGGTGCCACGGCTCCCGCCAAACGGGCGGGCGCGCTCTGCAAATCTCGGGGCCCGCCGCAAGGCACCCAGAGCACAGGGAGGTGCCAAGAAAGGCAGGAGCCTACGAAACCCACCTCCAAAGCAAGCAATTCATCCAAGAAAACGCCCGCCTCAGCGCTCCGTTGGTCCTCTCGCACGGACCGCCTGGCCCCCCGTGTTCTGGGCGCAGCCCAAGCCCCCTCCACCCTATCCCGGCCTGCTCAAGAGGGCGCTGCCTAACGGAGCCGGGCGCTTCCTCTCTAAGGCTCTATCGCTCTCGCTCTCTAGCTCCCTCCGCCTCTCTCTTCTGGGTTTCCCCCTGGACCTCGCGCTACTTCTGTCGTTTTCCCTCTGTCTCTCTGTCTCTCTCTCTCTCTCTTTCTCTGTGCCTCTCTCTTTCTCAGCCTCTCTGTCTGTCTCCTTCCCTCTCGCCCTCCCCTGTCTCTCTCGATCGCTGTCTCTCTCCCTCCCTCGGTTTCTATCTCTCCATCCATCTCGTCCTTGCTCTCCTTCAAGCCGCGTGTGTGTGTGTGCGTGCGTGTGCGCGTGCGTGTGTGCGTGTGTGTCTGTGTGTGTGTGTGTGTGCGTGTGTGTCCGCGCGCGCGCGTGCGAGCGCGCGCCCGGGTGTGTCTGTGTGTGGGGGAGTGGATTTGCTCCTGGTGGCGGTGGGGTGTGTCTGGGTTTCTCTCAGGCCCTCTCACCCGAGATCAGGCCGCCGCCTCTAGTGCCAGCCCGGGGCAAAACAGGGCCACCCCCCGACCCGCTACACCCCACGCCCTCTTGCCCCCCCGGCCGGGTCTTGGTCGGGACAAGCGACCGTGGTGGGGGCGTTGTGAGAGAAAGGCCCCGCGCGGCTGGGCCGGCTGTTCGCCTTCGGCCAGCCCTGACGGCTCTGGGTGGGTGGGGCAAGAGGGGGCCTCGCAGGAGCCCCTGTGCGGCGAGGGATCCAAAACGCTGCCTCCGCGACAGGGCGGAGGACCGGAGGGCGTCCCAGGATCGTGGGCCCTGGGCCCTGACGCCTCGGAGCACTCCCTGCTCCGAGCGGGCCCGATGTGGTGGAAGCTCGGGAGCGCGGGAGCCGGGGGAAGGCCGCGGGCCAGCGGCTCGGGGGTCCCCGATCCGAGCCCCGCGGCCCCGGGCTGGCGGTGTCGGCTGCAATCCGGCGGGCACGGCCGGGCCGGGCTGGGCTCTTGGGGCAGCCAGGCGCCTCCTTCAGCGTCTACGGCCATACCACCCTGAACGCGCCCGATCTCGTCTGATCTCGGAAGCTAAGCAGGGTCGGGCCTGGTTAGTACTTGGATGGGAGACCGCCTGGGAATACCGGGTGCTGTAGGCTTTTTCTTTGGCTTTTTGCTGTTTCTTTCCTTTTCTTCCAGACGGAGTCTCGCCCTGTCGCCCAGGCTGGAGTGCAGTGGCGCCATCTCGGCTCACTGCAAGCTCCGCCTCCCGGGTTCACGCCATTCCCCGGCCTCAGCCTCCCGAGTAGCTGGGCCTACAGGCGCCCGCCACCACGCCCGGCTACTTTGTTCTATTTTTCCTAGAGACGGGCTTTCACCCTGTTAGCCGGGATGGTCTGGAGCTCCTGACCTCGTGATCCACCCGCCTCGGCCTCCCAGAGTGCTGGGATTACAGGCGCGAGCCACCGCGCCCGCCCGGCCTGCTGTAGGCTTTTGTGGCTTCCCCGCTGCCTCCCTTCCCCCCACAGTCGCCATGCTTCCCAACCTCCCCTGACTCTGCTCCGCCTTTACCGCCCACCTACACCCCCGCCGCAGCCGCAGCCGGGGTCCTCCTGCTGGGGGTCCGCCCCTACTGCACGCCGGCCGGGCAGCAGCATCCCACCGCTTCCGCCTCGCCGCCGCCCCGCCAGGAGCCCGGCTCCAGCCTGGGAGGGCAGGGGGCCGGACCCCAAAGGCGCAGCCGCTGGGTTCCCTGCCGTTCGCGGTGCCTTCCCGCTCCCGGAACGCCCAGGCGATTCAATTCACCCATCGGGCGCCGTCGTCGCACCCTTCCAAACCGGGGGAAGGGGCGGGCAGGGGCAGCGGGTGCCACAGACGCCAGCCAAGACGTCGGCTCCGGAACGCATGGGCTGCTTTACCCGGGGGAAGGACATTGCTTCGCCAGCCACCGGGAAAACAGGCCCTGTGCACCCGGGATTCCCAATGCCCCCCGCTTCGTGTCGACGACTCCAGTCCCGAGGACTCGCCAGAGACCCAGGCCTCCGGGCCCGCCCGGTGCCACGGCTCCCGCCAAACGGGCGGGCGCGCTCTGCAAATCTCGGGGCCCGCCGCAAGGCACCCAGAGCACAGGGAGGTGCCAAGAAAGGCAGGAGCCTACGAAACCCACCTCCAAAGCAAGCAATTCATCCAAGAAAACGCCCGCCTCAGCGCTCCGTTGGTCCTCTCGCACGGACCGCCTGGCCCCCGTGTTCTGGGCGCAGCCCAAGCCCCCTCCACCCTATCCCGGCCTGCTCAAGAGGGCGCTGCCTAACGGAGCCGGGCGCTTCCTCTCTAAGGCTCTATCGCTCTCGCTCTCTAGCTCCCTCCGCCTCTCTCTTCTGGGTTTCCCCCTGGACCTCGCGCTACTTCTGTCGTTTTCCCTCTGTCTCTCTGTCTCTCTCTCTCTCTTTCTCTGTGCCTCTCTCTTTCTCAGCCTCTCTGTCTGTCTCCTTCCCTCTCGCCCTCCCCTGTCTCTCTCGATCGCTGTCTCTCTCCCTCCCTCGGTTTCTATCTCTCCATCCATCTCGTCCTTGCTCTCCTTCAAGCCGCGTGTGTGTGTGCGTGCGTGTGCGCGTGCGTGTGTGCGTGTGTGTCTGTGTGTGTGTGTGTGTGTGTGTGTCCGCGCGCGCGCGTGCGAGCGCGCCCGGGTGTGTCTGTGTGTGGGGGAGTGGATTTGCTCCTGGTGGCGGTGGGGTGTGTCTGGGTTTCTCTCAGGCCCTCTCACCCGAGATCAGGCCGCCGCCTCTAGTGCCAGCCCGGGGCAAAACAGGGCCACCCCCCGACCCGCTACACCCCACGCCCTCTTGCCCCCCCGGCCGGGTCTTGGTCGGGACAAGCGACCGTGGTGGGGGCGTTGTGAGAGAAAGGCCCCGCGCGGCTGGGCCGGCTGTTCGCCTTCGGCCAGCCCTGACGGCTCTGGGTGGGTGGGGCAAGAGGGGGCCTCGCAGGAGCCCCTGTGCGGCGAGGGATCCAAAACGCTGCCTCCGCGACAGGGCGGAGGACCGGAGGGCGTCCCAGGATCGTGGGCCCTGGGCCCTGACGCCTCGGAGCACTCCCTGCTCCGAGCGGGCCCGATGTGGTGGAAGCTCGGGAGCGCGGGAGCCGGGGGAAGGCCGCGGGCCAGCGGCTCGGGGGTCCCCGATCCGAGCCCCGCGGCCCCGGGCTGGCGGTGTCGGCTGCAATCCGGCGGGCACGGCCGGGCCGGGCTGGGCTCTTGGGGCAGCCAGGCGCCTCCTTCAGCGTCTACGGCCATACCACCCTGAACGCGCCCGATCTCGTCTGATCTCGGAAGCTAAGCAGGGTCGGGCCTGGTTAGTACTTGGATGGGAGACCGCCTGGGAATACCGGGTGCTGTAGGCTTTTTCTTTGGCTTTTTGCTGTTTCTTTCCTTTTCTTCCAGACGGAGTCTCGCCCTGTCGCCCAGGCTGGAGTGCAGTGGCGCCATCTCGGCTCACTGCAAGCTCCGCCTCCCGGGTTCACGCCATTCCCCGGCCTCAGCCTCCCGAGTAGCTGGGCCTACAGGCGCCCGCCACCACGCCCGGCTACTTTGTTCTATTTTTCCTAGAGACGGGCTTTCACCCTGTTAGCCGGGATGGTCTGGAGCTCCTGACCTCGTGATCCACCCGCCTCGGCCTCCCAGAGTGCTGGGATTACAGGCGCGAGCCACCGCGCCCGCCCGGCCTGCTGTAGGCTTTTGTGGCTTCCCCGCTGCCTCCCTTCCCCCCACAGTCGCCATGCTTCCCAACCTCCCCTGACTCTGCTCCCCCTTTACCGCCCACCTACACCCCCGCCGCAGCCGCAGCCGGGGTCCTCCTGCTGGGGGTCCGCCCCTACTGCACGCCGGCCGGGCAGCAGCATCCCACCGCTTCCGCCTCGCCGCCGCCCCGCCAGGAGCCCGGCTCCAGCCTGGGAGGGCAGGGGGCCGGACCCCAAAGGCGCAGCCGCTGGGTTCCCTGCCGTTCGCGGTGCCTTCCCGCTCCCGGAACGCCCAGGCGATTCAATTCACCCATCGGGCGCCGTCGTCGCACCCTTCCAAACCGGGGGAAGGGGCGGGCAGGGGCAGCGGGTGCCACAGACGCCAGCCAAGACGTCGGCTCCGGAACGCATGGGCTGCTTTACCCGGGGGAAGGACATTGCTTCGCCAGCCACCGGGAAAACAGGCCCTGTGCACCCGGGATTCCCAATGCCCCCCGCTTCGTGTCGACGACTCCAGTCCCGAGGACTCGCCAGAGACCCAGGCCTCCGGGCCCGCCCGGTGCCACGGCTCCCGCCAAACGGGCGGGCGCGCTCTGCAAATCTCGGGGCCCGCCGCAAGGCACCCAGAGCACAGGGAGGTGCCAAGAAAGGCAGGAGCCTACGAAACCCACCTCCAAAGCAAGCAATTCATCCAAGAAAACGCCCGCCTCAGCGCTCCGTTGGTCCTCTCGCACGGACCGCCTGGCCCCCGTGTTCTGGGCGCAGCCCAAGCCCCCTCCACCCTATCCCGGCCTGCTCAAGAGGGCGCTGCCTAACGGAGCCGGGCGCTTCCTCTCTAAGGCTCTATCGCTCTCGCTCTCTAGCTCCCTCCGCCTCTCTCTTCTGGGTTTCCCCCTGGACCTCGCGCTACTTCTGTCGTTTTCCCTCTGTCTCTCTGTCTCTCTCTCTCTCTTTCTCTGTGCCTCTCTCTTTCTCAGCCTCTCTGTCTGTCTCCTTCCCTCTCGCCCTCCCCTGTCTCTCTCGATCGCTGTCTCTCTCCCTCCCTCGGTTTCTATCTCTCCATCCATCTCGTCCTTGCTCTCCTTCAAGCCGCGTGTGTGTGTGCGTGCGTGTGCGCGTGCGTGTGTGCGTGTGTGTCTGTGTGTGTGTGTGTGTGCGTGTGTGTCCGCGCGCGCGCGTGCGAGCGCGCCCGGGTGTGTCTGTGTGTGGGGGAGTGGATTTGCTCCTGGTGGCGGTGGGGTGTGTCTGGGTTTCTCTCAGGCCCTCTCACCCGAGATCAGGCCGCCGCCTCTAGTGCCAGCCCGGGGCAAAACAGGGCCACCCCCGACCCGCTACACCCCACGCCCTCTTGCCCCCCGGCCGGGTCTTGGTCGGGACAAGCGACCGTGGTGGGGGCGTTGTGAGAGAAAGGCCCCGCGCGGCTGGGCCGGCTGTTCGCCTTCGGCCAGCCCTGACGGCTCTGGGTGGGTGGGGCAAGAGGGGGCCTCGCAGGAGCCCCTGTGCGGCGAGGGATCCAAAACGCTGCCTCCGCGACAGGGCGGAGGACCGGAGGGCGTCCCAGGATCGTGGGCCCTGGGCCCTGACGCCTCGGAGCACTCCCTGCTCCGAGCGGGCCCGATGTGGTGGAAGCTCGGGAGCGCGGGAGCCGGGGGAAGGCCGCGGGCCAGCGGCTCGGGGGTCCCCGATCCGAGCCCCGCGGCCCCGGGCTGGCGGTGTCGGCTGCAATCCGGCGGGCACGGCCGGGCCGGGCTGGGCTCTTGGGGCAGCCAGGCGCCTCCTTCAGCGTCTACGGCCATACCACCCTGAACGCGCCCGATCTCGTCTGATCTCGGAAGCTAAGCAGGGTCGGGCCTGGTTAGTACTTGGATGGGAGACCGCCTGGGAATACCGGGTGCTGTAGGCTTTTTCTTTGGCTTTTTGCTGTTTCTTTCCTTTTCTTCCAGACGGAGTCTCGCCCTGTCGCCCAGGCTGGAGTGCAGTGGCGCCATCTCGGCTCACTGCAAGCTCCGCCTCCCGGGTTCACGCCATTCCCCGGCCTCAGCCTCCCGAGTAGCTGGGCCTACAGGCGCCCGCCACCACGCCCGGCTACTTTGTTCTATTTTTCCTAGAGACGGGCTTTCACCCTGTTAGCCGGGATGGTCTGGAGCTCCTGACCTCGTGATCCACCCGCCTCGGCCTCCCAGAGTGCTGGGATTACAGGCGCGAGCCACCGCGCCCGCCCGGCCTGCTGTAGGCTTTTGTGGCTTCCCCGCTGCCTCCCTTCCCCCCACAGTCGCCATGCTTCCCAACCTCCCCTGACTCTGCTCCGCCTTTACCGCCCACCTACACCCCCGCCGCAGCCGCAGCCGGGGTCCTCCTGCTGGGGGTCCGCCCCTACTGCACGCCGGCCGGGCAGCAGCATCCCACCGCTTCCGCCTCGCCGCCGCCCCGCCAGGAGCCCGGCTCCAGCCTGGGAGGGCAGGGGGCCGGACCCCAAAGGCGCAGCCGCTGGGTTCCCTGCCGTTCGCGGTGCCTTCCCGCTCCCGGAACGCCCAGGCGATTCAATTCACCCATCGGGCGCCGTCGTCGCACCCTTCCAAACCGGGGGAAGGGGCGGGCAGGGGCAGCGGGTGCCACAGACGCCAGCCAAGACGTCGGCTCCGGAACGCATGGGCTGCTTTACCCGGGGGAAGGACATTGCTTCGCCAGCCACCGGGAAAACAGGCCCTGTGCACCCGGGATTCCCAATGCCCCCCGCTTCGTGTCGACGACTCCAGTCCCGAGGACTCGCCAGAGACCCAGGCCTCCGGGCCCGCCCGGTGCCACGGCTCCCGCCAAACGGGCGGGCGCGCTCTGCAAATCTCGGGGCCCGCCGCAAGGCACCCAGAGCACAGGGAGGTGCCAAGAAAGGCAGGAGCCTACGAAACCCACCTCCAAAGCAAGCAATTCATCCAAGAAAACGCCCGCCTCAGCGCTCCGTTGGTCCTCTCGCACGGACCGCCTGGCCCCCGTGTTCTGGGCGCAGCCCAAGCCCCCTCCACCCTATCCCGGCCTGCTCAAGAGGGCGCTGCCTAACGGAGCCGGGCGCTTCCTCTCTAAGGCTCTATCGCTCTCGCTCTCTAGCTCCCTCCGCCTCTCTCTTCTGGGTTTCCCCCTGGACCTCGCGCTACTTCTGTCGTTTTCCCTCTGTCTCTCTGTCTCTCTCTCTCTCTTTCTCTGTGCCTCTCTCTTTCTCAGCCTCTCTGTCTGTCTCCTTCCCTCTCGCCCTCCCCTGTCTCTCTCGATCGCTGTCTCTCTCCCTCCCTCGGTTTCTATCTCTCCATCCATCTCGTCCTTGCTCTCCTTCAAGCCGCGTGTGTGTGTGCGTGCGTGTGCGCGTGCGTGTGTGCGTGTGTGTCTGTGTGTGTGTGTGTGTGCGTGTGTGTCCGCGCGCGCGCGTGCGAGCGCGCCCGGGTGTGTCTGTGTGTGGGGGAGTGGATTTGCTCCTGGTGGCGGTGGGGTGTGTCTGGGTTTCTCTCAGGCCCTCTCACCCGAGATCAGGCCGCCGCCTCTAGTGCCAGCCCGGGGCAAAACAGGGCCACCCCCCGACCCGCTACACCCCACGCCCTCTTGCCCCCCCGGCCGGGTCTTGGTCGGGACAAGCGACCGTGGTGGGGGCGTTGTGAGAGAAAGGCCCCGCGCGGCTGGGCCGGCTGTTCGCCTTCGGCCAGCCCTGACGGCTCTGGGTGGGTGGGGCAAGAGGGGGCCTCGCAGGAGCCCCTGTGCGGCGAGGGATCCAAAACGCTGCCTCCGCGACAGGGCGGAGGACCGGAGGGCGTCCCAGGATCGTGGGCCCTGGGCCCTGACGCCTCGGAGCACTCCCTGCTCCGAGCGGGCCCGATGTGGTGGAAGCTCGGGAGCGCGGGAGCCGGGGGAAGGCCGCGGGCCAGCGGCTCGGGGGTCCCCGATCCGAGCCCCGCGGCCCCGGGCTGGCGGTGTCGGCTGCAATCCGGCGGGCACGGCCGGGCCGGGCTGGGCTCTTGGGGCAGCCAGGCGCCTCCTTCAGCGTCTACGGCCATACCACCCTGAACGCGCCCGATCTCGTCTGATCTCGGAAGCTAAGCAGGGTCGGGCCTGGTTAGTACTTGGATGGGAGACCGCCTGGGAATACCGGGTGCTGTAGGCTTTTTCTTTGGCTTTTTGCTGTTTCTTTCCTTTTCTTCCAGACGGAGTCTCGCCCTGTCGCCCAGGCTGGAGTGCAGTGGCGCCATCTCGGCTCACTGCAAGCTCCGCCTCCCGGGTTCACGCCATTCCCCGGCCTCAGCCTCCCGAGTAGCTGGGCCTACAGGCGCCCGCCACCACGCCCGGCTACTTTGTTCTATTTTTCCTAGAGACGGGCTTTCACCCTGTTAGCCGGGATGGTCTGGAGCTCCTGACCTCGTGATCCACCCGCCTCGGCCTCCCAGAGTGCTGGGATTACAGGCGCGAGCCACCGCGCCCGCCCGGCCTGCTGTAGGCTTTTGTGGCTTCCCCGCTGCCTCCCTTCCCCCCACAGTCGCCATGCTTCCCAACCTCCCCTGACTCTGCTCCCCCTTTACCGCCCACCTACACCCCCGCCGCAGCCGCAGCCGGGGTCCTCCTGCTGGGGGTCCGCCCCTACTGCACGCCGGCCGGGCAGCAGCATCCCACCGCTTCCGCCTCGCCGCCGCCCCGCCAGGAGCCCGGCTCCAGCCTGGGAGGGCAGGGGGCCGGACCCCAAAGGCGCAGCCGCTGGGTTCCCTGCCGTTCGCGGTGCCTTCCCGCTCCCGGAACGCCCAGGCGATTCAATTCACCCATCGGGCGCCGTCGTCGCACCCTTCCAAACCGGGGGAAGGGGCGGGCAGGGGCAGCGGGTGCCACAGACGCCAGCCAAGACGTCGGCTCCGGAACGCATGGGCTGCTTTACCCGGGGGAAGGACATTGCTTCGCCAGCCACCGGGAAAACAGGCCCTGTGCACCCGGGATTCCCAATGCCCCCCGCTTCGTGTCGACGACTCCAGTCCCGAGGACTCGCCAGAGACCCAGGCCTCCGGGCCCGCCCGGTGCCACGGCTCCCGCCAAACGGGCGGGCGCGCTCTGCAAATCTCGGGGCCCGCCGCAAGGCACCCAGAGCACAGGGAGGTGCCAAGAAAGGCAGGAGCCTACGAAACCCACCTCCAAAGCAAGCAATTCATCCAAGAAAACGCCCGCCTCAGCGCTCCGTTGGTCCTCTCGCACGGACCGCCTGGCCCCCGTGTTCTGGGCGCAGCCCAAGCCCCCTCCACCCTATCCCGGCCTGCTCAAGAGGGCGCTGCCTAACGGAGCCGGGCGCTTCCTCTCTAAGGCTCTATCGCTCTCGCTCTCTAGCTCCCTCCGCCTCTCTCTTCTGGGTTTCCCCCTGGACCTCGCGCTACTTCTGTCGTTTTCCCTCTGTCTCTCTGTCTCTCTCTCTCTCTTTCTCTGTGCCTCTCTCTTTCTCAGCCTCTCTGTCTGTCTCCTTCCCTCTCGCCCTCCCCTGTCTCTCTCGATCGCTGTCTCTCTCCCTCCCTCGGTTTCTATCTCTCCATCCATCTCGTCCTTGCTCTCCTTCAAGCCGCGTGTGTGTGTGCGTGCGTGTGCGCGTGCGTGTGTGCGTGTGTGTCTGTGTGTGTGTGTGTGTGCGTGTGTGTCCGCGCGCGCGCGTGCGAGCGCGCCCGGGTGTGTCTGTGTGTGGGGAGTGGATTTGCTCCTGGTGGCGGTGGGGTGTGTCTGGGTTTCTCTCAGGCCCTCTCACCCGAGATCAGGCCGCCGCCTCTAGTGCCAGCCCGGGGCAAAACAGGGCCACCCCCCGACCCGCTACACCCCACGCCCTCTTGCCCCCCGGCCGGGTCTTGGTCGGGACAAGCGACCGTGGTGGGGGCGTTGTGAGAGAAAGGCCCCGCGCGGCTGGGCCGGCTGTTCGCCTTCGGCCAGCCCTGACGGCTCTGGGTGGGTGGGGCAAGAGGGGGCCTCGCAGGAGCCCCTGTGCGGCGAGGGATCCAAAACGCTGCCTCCGCGACAGGGCGGAGGACCGGAGGGCGTCCCAGGATCGTGGGCCCTGGGCCCTGACGCCTCGGAGCACTCCCTGCTCCGAGCGGGCCCGATGTGGTGGAAGCTCGGGAGCGCGGGAGCCGGGGGAAGGCCGCGGGCCAGCGGCTCGGGGGTCCCCGATCCGAGCCCCGCGGCCCCGGGCTGGCGGTGTCGGCTGCAATCCGGCGGGCACGGCCGGGCCGGGCTGGGCTCTTGGGGCAGCCAGGCGCCTCCTTCAGCGTCTACGGCCATACCACCCTGAACGCGCCCGATCTCGTCTGATCTCGGAAGCTAAGCAGGGTCGGGCCTGGTTAGTACTTGGATGGGAGACCGCCTGGGAATACCGGGTGCTGTAGGCTTTTTCTTTGGCTTTTTGCTGTTTCTTTCCTTTTCTTCCAGACGGAGTCTCGCCCTGTCGCCCAGGCTGGAGTGCAGTGGCGCCATCTCGGCTCACTGCAAGCTCCGCCTCCCGGGTTCACGCCATTCCCCGGCCTCAGCCTCCCGAGTAGCTGGGCCTACAGGCGCCCGCCACCACGCCCGGCTACTTTGTTCTATTTTTCCTAGAGACGGGCTTTCACCCTGTTAGCCGGGATGGTCTGGAGCTCCTGACCTCGTGATCCACCCGCCTCGGCCTCCCAGAGTGCTGGGATTACAGGCGCGAGCCACCGCGCCCGCCCGGCCTGCTGTAGGCTTTTGTGGCTTCCCCGCTGCCTCCCTTCCCCCCACAGTCGCCATGCTCCCCAACCTCCCCTGACTCTGCTCCCCCTTTACCGCCCACCTACACCCCCGCCGCAGCCGCAGCCGGGGTCCTCCTGCTGGGGGTCCGCCCCTACTGCACGCCGGCCCGGCAGCAGCATCCCACCGCTTCCGCCTCGCCGCCGCCCCGCCAGGAGCCCGGCTCCAGCCTGGGAGGGCAGGGGGCCGGACCCCAAAGGCGCAGCCGCTGGGTTCCCTGCCGTTCGCGGTGCCTTCCCGCTCCCGGAACGCCCAGGCGATTCAATTCACCCATCGGGCGCCGTCGTCGCACCCTTCCAAACCGGGGGAAGGGGCGGGCAGGGGCAGCGGGTGCCACAGACGCCAGCCAAGACGTCGGCTCCGGAACGCATGGGCTGCTTTACCCCGGGGGAAGGACATTGCTTCGCCAGCCACCGGGAAAACAGGCCCTGTGCACCCGGGATTCCCAATGCCCCCCGCTTCGTGTCGACGACTCCAGTCCCGAGGACTCGCCAGAGACCCAGGCCTCCGGGCCCGCCCGGTGCCACGGCTCCCGCCAAACGGGCGGGCGCGCTCTGCAAATCTCGGGGCCCGCCGCAAGGCACCCAGAGCACAGGGAGGTGCCAAGAAAGGCAGGAGCCTACGAAACCCACCTCCAAAGCAAGCAATTCATCCAAGAAAACGCCCGCCTCAGCGCTCCGTTGGTCCTCTCGCACGGACCGCCTGGCCCCCGTGTTCTGGGCGCAGCCCAAGCCCCCTCCACCCTATCCCGGCCTGCTCAAGAGGGCGCTGCCTAACGGAGCCGGGCGCTTCCTCTCTAAGGCTCTATCGCTCTCGCTCTCTAGCTCCCTCCGCCTCTCTCTTCTGGGTTTCCCCCTGGACCTCGCGCTACTTCTGTCGTTTTCCCTCTGTCTCTCTGTCTCTCTCTCTCTCTTTCTCTGTGCCTCTCTCTTTCTCAGCCTCTCTGTCTGTCTCCTTCCCTCTCGCCCTCCCCTGTCTCTCTCGATCGCTGTCTCTCTCCCTCCCTCGGTTTCTATCTCTCCATCCATCTCGTCCTTGCTCTCCTTCAAGCCGCGTGTGTGTGTGCGTGCGTGTGCGCGTGCGTGTGTGCGTGTGTGTCTGTGTGTGTGTGTGTGTGCGTGTGTGTCCGCGCGCGCGCGTGCGAGCGCGCCCGGGTGTGTCTGTGTGTGGGGGAGTGGATTTGCTCCTGGTGGCGGTGGGGTGTGTCTGGGTTTCTCTCAGGCCCTCTCACCCGAGATCAGGCCGCCGCCTCTAGTGCCAGCCCGGGGCAAAACAGGGCCACCCCCCGACCCGCTACACCCCACGCCCTCTTGCCCCCCCGGCCGGGTCTTGGTCGGGACAAGCGACCGTGGTGGGGGCGTTGTGAGAGAAAGGCCCCGCGCGGCTGGGCCGGCTGTTCGCCTTCGGCCAGCCCTGACGGCTCTGGGTGGGTGGGGCAAGAGGGGGCCTCGCAGGAGCCCCTGTGCGGCGAGGGATCCAAAACGCTGCCTCCGCGACAGGGCGGAGGACCGGAGGGCGTCCCAGGATCGTGGGCCCTGGGCCCTGACACCTCTGAACTCCTGAGTAGCTGGGACCCCAAGTAGGATGTCCCCGGCTGCCGCTGGGGTATAGGTGTGCTATAAAGGGAGAGCAGAGTCAGAGAAGGTTCGGAAGCATGGCGACTGCAGGGGGAAGGGAGGCAGCGGGAAACCCAAAAAAGCCTACAGCAGGCCGGGCGGGCGCGGTGGCTCCCGCCTGTAATCCCAGCACTCTGGGAGGCCGAGGCGGGTGGATCACGAGGTCAGGAGATCGAGACCATCCCGGCTAACAGGGTGAAACCCCGTCTCTAGGAAAAATAGAACAAATTAGCCGGGCGTGGTGGCGGGCGCCTGTAGGCCCAGCTTCTCGGGAGCCTGAGGCCGGAGTATGGCGTGAACCCGGGAGGCGGAACTTGCAGTGAGCCGAGATGGCGCGTCTGCACTCCAGCCTGGGTGACAGAGCGAGACTCTGTCTGGAAGAAAAGTAAAGAAAAAGCCATTAAAAAAAAAAAAAAAGCCTCCAGCACCTGGTATTCTCAGGCGGTCTCCCATCCAAGTACTAACCAGGCTCGTCCCTGCTTAGCTTCCGAGATCAGTCGCGTTCAGGGTGGTATGGTCTTAGGCGCCAGAAGAGGAGCCTGGCTCCCCCAAGTGCCCGGCCAGCCTTGCCGGCCGGATTCCAGCTGTCACCGCCCGCCCAGGGCCGCGGGGCTCGGATCGTGGACCCTCGAGCCGCTCGCCCGCGGCCTTCCCGTGGCTCCCGAGCTCCCGGGATCCTGCCACATCGGGCCCGCTCGGAACAGGGAGTGCTCCGAGGCGTCACGGCCCAGGGCCCACGATCCTGGGACCCCTTCCATTCCTCCGCCCTGTCGCGGATGTATCGTTTTGGATCCCTCGCCGCTCAGAAGATCCTGCGAGGCCCCATCTTGCCCCAACCAACCAGAGCCGTCAAGGCTGGCCCAAGGACGAACAGCCGGCCCAGCCTCGCGGGGGTTTTTCTCACAACGCCCCCACAACGTTCGCTTGTCCCGACCAAGACCCGGTCTATTGGCAAGAGGGCGTGGGCTATAGCGGTTCAGGGTTTGGCCCTGCTTTGCCCCGGGCTGGCACTAGAGGCGGCGGCCTGATCCTGGGTGTGAGGGGCTGAGAGAAACCCAGACACACCCCACCACCACCAGGAGCAAATCCGCTTCCCCACACAAATACACACCTGGGTGCTCTCTCACGTGCGGGCAGACGCGCGCGCGCGCGCACACACACACACACACACATCCCACCAGGAGGAAATCCACTCCCCCACACACAGACACACCCGAGCTCTCGCACGCGTGCGCGTGCTCACACACACACACACAGGGCTTGAAGAAGAGGTAGGACGAGATGGATGGAGCGATAGAAACCGAGGGAGGGATAGAGGCAGCGATCGAGACAGGCGAGAGGGAAAGAGACAGACAGAAGGGACAGCTATTTTAATGGGAGAGACTTCCGGCTCTCTATCCATTCTAATGATAGAGACACCTGTGTGACCCCAGGCATTCTAATGGGAGCGGTCCCTGACTGATGTCAGACCTTCTAATACTAGAGACTCCTGGGAGACTTCAGGCATTCTAATGGGAGAGGCTCTTGGCCGACCTCCAGTCTTCCAATAACAGAGACACCTGGGAGACCCCAGGCATTCTGATAAGAGAGACTTCTGGCCAACGCCAGTCATTCCAGTGATTCAGACACCTTGACGACCACAGGCATTTTGATGAGAGAAACTTCTGGCCGATGCCAGGCATTCTAATGATAGAGACACTTGGGTGACCCCAGGCTTTCTAATGAAAGACACTTCTGGCCGACCCCAGACGTTCTAATTGTAGAGACACCTGGGCGACTTCAGGCATTCTAATGATAGAGACACCTGGGTGACTCCGGGCATTCTAATGATAGATAAACCTGGGCAAATCCAGGCATTCTAATGGGGGAGACTCCTGGCCGACCACAGACATTGTAATGATAGAGACACCTGGGCGACTCCAAGCATTCTAATGATAGAGACACCTGGGCAACCCCAGGCATTCTAATGATGCAGACACCTCAGTGACCTCAGGCATTCTAATGGGAAGGACTCTTGGCCAACTCCATGAATTGTAATGATACAGACACATGGGTGACCCAGGCATTCTAATGGGAGAGACTCCTGGCTGACCACAGGCATTTTAATGATAGAGACTCCTGGGCGACTCCAGGCATTCTAATAATAGAGACACCTGGGCGACTGCAGGCATTCTAATAATAGAGACTCCTGGGCGACTCCAGGCATTCTAATAATAGAGACACCTGGGCGACTGCAGGCATTCTAATAATAGAGACTCCTGGGCGACTCCAGGCATTCTAATAATAGAGACACCTGGGCGACTGCAGGCATTCTAATAATAGAGACACCTGGGCGACTGCAGGCATTCTAATGGGAGAGACTCCCGGACAATTGCAGGAATTTTAATAATAGAGACACCTGGGTGACCCCAGGCATTTTAATGGGAGACACTTTTTTCTGACCCCAGGGAGTCTAATGATAGAGACACCTGGACCACCCCAGGCATTCTAATGATAAAGACACCTGGGCAACCCCAAGCATTCTAATGGGAGAAACTCCTGGCCAACCCCAGGAATTGTAATGATAGAGACACTGGGCAACCAAGGCACTCTAATGGGAGAGACTCCAGGCCATTCAAAGGTATTTTAATGATAGAAATACCTGGATGAAGCCAGGCTTTCTTTTTTTCCCGAAGTCTCGCTCTTGTCTCCCAGGCTGGAGTGCAATGGCGCGATCTTGGCTCACTGCAACCTCCGCCTCCAAGAACCCAGGCATTTTAATGGGAAAAACTTCTGGCTAACGCCAGACATTTTATGTCTAATGATAGACATATTATGTCTAATGATAGAGACACCTGGGCGACTCCAGGCATCCTAAGGGGAAGAGACTCTGGCCCCTGCCTAGTTGTTCCAATAATAAAGACACCTAGGCAACCCCAGGCACTCTAATGAGAGAGACTGCTGGAAAACTCAAAGCATTCTCATGATAGAGCCATCTGGACCACCCCTGGCAGTTTAATGGAAGACAGTCCTGGTTGACCCCAGGCGTTCTAATGATAGAGACAGCTAGGGGACCCATGCATTCTAATGGAAGAGACCCCTGGCCGACTGCAGGCATTCTAATGATAGAGACACCTGAAATAACACAGGCATTCTAATGGGAGACACCTGGGCGACTCCATGGATTCTAATTGGAGAGACTCCTGGCTGATCCCAAACCTTCTAATGATAGAGACACCTTAGAAACCCCAGGCATTCTAGTGACAGAGACACCTGGGTGACCACAGGAATTTTATGTGAGACACTAGGCATTCTCATAATAGAAATAGCTGGGCGATTTCAGGCATTCTAATGGGAGGGACTCCTGGCTGACCCCAGGCATTCTAATGATAGAGACACCTGGGCAGCCTCAGGCATTCTAATAGGAGAGACTCCTGGCTGACCCCAGGCATTGTAATAATAGAGAAACCCAGGACACCACAGGCATTCTAATGGGAAAGAGACTTTTGGCTTACCCCGGGCATTCAAATGACAGAGACACTTTGGGGCCACCACGCATTCTAATGAGAGAGGCTCATGGCTGACCCCAGGCATTCTAATAATAGAGAAACCCAGGATACCACAGGCATTCTAATGGGAAAGGGACTTTTGGCTTACCCTGGGCATTCAAATGACAGAGACACTTCGGGGCCACCATGCATTCTAATGGGAGAGGCTCATGGCTGACCCCAGGTATTCCAATGATATAGACACCAGGGCACCCCAAGTATTTCGATGGAAAAGACTCCTAGCCCATCCCAGGCATTGTAATGATAGAGACACTGGGTGACCCCAGGCATACTAATGAAAGACAGTCTGCCCGACCCCTACAACCCCAGGCATTCTAATGATAGAGACACTTTTGTGAACCCAGGCATTCTAGTGGGAGAGACTCCTGGCCAATGCCAAGCATTCTAATGATACAGACACCTGGGTGACACCAGGCATTCTAATGGGAGAGACTCCTGGCCGACCCCAGGCATTCTAATGACAGAGACATCTGGGCCACCCCAGACATTCTAATGGGAGAGACTCTTTGCCAACCCTAGGCATTGTAATGATGGAGACACCTGGGCAACCTTAGGCATTGTAATAATGGGGACTCATCTGTGTCCACAGGCATTCTAATTAAAGAGATGCCTGTCTTACCCTAGTCATTGTAATGATAGAGACATTTAAGCCACCCAAAACAGTCTAATGAGAGAGACTGCTTGCCGAGCACAAGCATTCTGATGATAGAGACACCTCAGCAACCCCAGGCATTCTAATGGGAGAGGCTTTTGGCAGACCCCAGGGATTGAAATGATAGAGGCATCTGGGAGACCCCAGGCGTTCTAATGGGAGAGACTCGAGGCCGACTTCGGGCATACTAATAAGAGAGACACTTGGATGACCCCAGGCAATCTAATGTGAGAAACTTTTGGCCGACCACAGGCATTGTAGTAATAGAGAAACCTGGGTGACCCCAGACATTCTAATAGGAGACACGCCTGGCTGATCACAAGCATTGTAATGATAGAGACAACTGGGTGACTACAAACATTTTAATGATAGAGACACCTGAGTGACTCCAGGCAGTCTAATAAGACAGACTCCTGGCTGACTGCAGGCATCTTAATGATAGAGACAACTGGATGACTCCAGGCATTCTAATGATAGAGACACCTGGGTGAAGGCAGGCATTCTAATCGGAGACACTCCTGGCTAACAGCAGGCATTGAAATGATAGAGACACCTGAACAACCACAGGCATTCTAACAGGAGAGACTTCTGGCCGACCCCAGGCATTCCAGTGATAGAGACACCTGGGCAACCCCAATCATTCTAATAGTAAATACACCTGGGCACCTCCAGGCATTCTAATAAATAAGAAACCTGGGTGAACCCAGGCATTCTAATGGGAAAGATTCCTGGCCAACTCCAGGCATTCTAATGAGAGACTCCTGCCTGACTGAAAGCATTCTAATGACAGAGACCTGGCCGACCCATGACATTATAATGAAAGAAACTTCTGGCTGACCCCAAACTTTCTTATGATAAAGACAGCTGGATGACCCCAGGCATTCTAATGGGAGAGACTCCGGGCCCTCCCCATGTATTTTAATGATAGAAACACCTTGGCGACCCCAGGCATTCTAATGGAAGAGACTCCTGGATGACCCAAAGCATTCTCATGATAGAGACATTTGGGAAACCCCAGGCATGCTAATGGAAGTTTTTCTTGACCCCAGGCATTCTAATGATAGAGATACCTGGACTATCACAAACATTATAATGGGAGAGATTCCCAGCTGACTCCAGCCATTCTAACGTTAGAGACACCTGGGCAACTTCAGGCATTCTAATGGTGGAAACTCCTGGCCTACTTTAGGGATTCTAATGATAGAGACACCTGGGTGACTTCAGGAGTTTTAATGGGAGAAAGTCCTGGATGACCTCAGGCATTTTCAGGATAGAGACAGCTGGGTGACCCCAGGCATTTTAATAAGAGAGATTCCTGGCCTTCCCAGGCATTGTAATGATGGGGACACCTAGGTGATCCAGGCATTCTAATGGGTAAGACTCCTGATCGACCCCAGGCATTGTAATGATAGACACACCTGAGTGACCCCAGGCATTCTAATAAGAGAGACAGCTGGCCAACCCCCAGTATTGTAATGATAGAGACAAATGGGTGATCCAGGCATTCTAATGGGAGAGACTCCTGGCTGACCCCAAGCACTGTGATAATAGACACACCTGGGGTGAACTCAGGGATTCTAATGGGGAGAGACAGCTGGCCGACCCCAGGCATTGCAATGAAAAAGACAACTGGGTGACTTCAGGCTATCTAATGATAGAGACACTTAGGTGACTCCAGGCATTCTAATGATAAAGACACCTGGGAGACTCCAGGCATTCTAATGGGAGAGACTCCTGGCTGACTGCAGGCATTGTAATGATAGAGACACCTGGTTTACTCCAGGCATTCTAATGATAAAGACAGCTGGGTGACCTCAGGCATTTTTAATAGGAAAGATATTTGGCTTATTGCAGGCATTGTAATGATAAAGACTTCTGGTGACCCCAGACATTCTAATAAGAGAGACTTTTGGCTGAACTCAGGCATTCTAATGATAGGGACACTTGGGCAGCCCAAGGCATTCTAATGACAGAGACACCTGGGCAACTCCAGGCATTCTAACAATGAAGACACCAGGGTGACCCCAGGCATTCTAACGGGAGAGACTCAAAGTCGACTTCAGGCATTGTAATGATAAAGTCAACTGGGCAACTCCACACATTCTAATTGGAGAGACTCCTTGCTGACCCCAGGCATTCTAATGATAGAGAGGCCTGGGGTACCCAGGCATTCTAATGTGAGAGGCTCCTGGCTGACTAAAGGCATTTTAATGATAGAGACACCTGGGTGACCCCAAAATTTCTATGATAGACCCACATAGGCGACCTTAGGAATTCTAATGGGAAAAACTCTTGGGTGACCCCAGACATTGTAATAACGGAGACACCTGGTGACCCCAGGCATTCTAATGAGAGAGACTCCTGCCCGACAACAGGCATTCTAATGATAGAGACACCTGGGCGACCCAAAGCATTGTAATGACAGAGGCACATGGACAACCCCAGACATTCTCATGAAAGATACTCCTGTTGGACCCAATACATTCTAATGCTAGTAACACCTGGGCGACCTTAGGCATTCAAATGATAGAGACACCTGGGTGACCCCAGGCATTCTAATGGGAGTGATCCCTGCCCATCCCCAGGCATTGTAATGATAGAGAAAACTGAGGGTACTCAGGCATTCTGAAAAGAGAGATTCCAGGCTGATACCAGGCATTCTAATGATAGAGACACCTGGGCAATTTCAGGCATTCTAATGGGAGACACTCCTGACCCACTGTAGGCATTGAAATGATAGAGACACCTGGGCGATCTCAGGCAATCTAATACGAGAGATTTTGGCTGACCCCAGACATTCTAATAATAGAGACACCTGGGCAACTCAATGCATTCTAATGGATAAAACTCCTGGTCAACACAAGCATTCTAATAATAGAGACACCTGAGTGACCCCAGATATTCTAATGATAAGGACTCTTGGGCAATTTCAGTCATTGTAATGGAAGAGATTCCTGGCCTACCCCAAGCATTCTAATAATAGAGATATCTGGGCAAACACAGCCATTCTAATGGGAGAGACTCCTGGCCAACCCCAGGCATTGTAATGATAAAGACAGCTGGGCAACCCCAGGCACTCTAATGGAAGAGACTCCTGGCCGGCTCAAGGCATTGTAATGATAAAGACACCTGGGCAACGCCATGCATTCTAATGGGAGAGACTCCCAGCCAACCCCAGGCATTGTAATGATAGTGACAGCTGGGTGACCCCAGGCATTCTAATGAGAGAGACTCCTGGCTGACCCAAGGCATTCTAATGATAGAGACACCTGGATGACCCCAGTCATTCTAATGATACAGACACCTGGGTGAAATCAGGCTTTCTAAAGGGAGAGACTCCTGCCTGACCACAGACATTGTAATAATAGAGACAACACGGTGATCTTAGGCATTCTAATGAAAGAGACTGCTGGCCCACCCCAAGCATTCTAATGATAGAGACACCTGGGCTACTCCAGACATTCTAATGTTAGAGACACCAGGGCGACCTAAGGTATTGTAATGGAGAGATACCTGGGCGACACCAGGCATTATAATAAGAGAGACACCTGTGTGACCCCAAGCATTCTATTGGGAGAGACTACTGGCTGACCCCAGGCATTGTAATAATAGGGACACCTTGGTGACCCCAGGTGTTCTAATGGGACAGACCCCTGACTGACCCCAAAATTCTAATGATAGAAAAACCTGGGTGTACTCCATCATTCTAATGGGAGAGACTCCTGGCTGACCCCAGGCATTCTAATAATAAAGACTTCTAGCTGACCCCAGGCATTGTCATGATAAAGACACCGGGTGACCCCAGGCATTCTAATAAGAGAGGCTCCTGGCCGACTGTAGGCATTGTAATGATAGATACCTGGGAGACCCAAGGCATTCTAATGGGAGAGACTCCTGAGACTCCTGGCCAACCTTAGGTATTCTAATGATAGAGAAACCTGGATGATTCAAAGCATTCTAAAGGAAGATACTCCTGGTGAGCCCCAAACATTTTAATAATAGAGACATCTGGGCGAACCCGCATTCCAATAAGAGAGACTGCTGGCCAACCCAAGGCATTCTAATGATAGAGACTGTTGGAAAATCCCAGGCATTCTAATGATAGAGTCATCTGGGCAACCCCAGGCATTTTAATGGGAGACATTCCTGGGAGACCCCAGGCACTTAATGGGAGAGACTCTAGGCTGACAACAGGCATTTTAATTATAGAGACACCTGGGTGACCCCAAGCATTCTAATGGGAGAGACCCCTTTCAGACACCAGGCCTTTTAATGATAATGATAATGATAATGATAATGATAATGATAATGATAATGAGACACATGAGCTGAGCAATCTCAGAACTTCTAGTAAGAAAGACTCCATGGTGAACTTAGGCATTCTAATAATGGAGACACCTGGGCAACAACAGGCATTCTAATAAGAGAATATGCGGGCTGACCCCAGGCATTCTAATGATAGAGACGCCTGGGCGACTTAAGGCATTGTAATGGTAGAGACACCTGGGTGACCTCAGGCATTCTAATGGGAGAGACACCTGGCCAACCCCAGGCATTGTAATGATAGAGACACATTGGCTATTCCAAGCATTCTAATGGAAGAGATTCCTGTCTGATCCAAGGCATTCTAATGAGAGAGACACCTGGGTGACCCCTGCAATTCTAATGATACAGACACCAGAGCGACCTCAGACATTCTAACAGGAGAGACCCCGACCCACCCCAGGCATTACAATGATAAAGACAACTTGGCCACCCCAGGCATTCTCATGGAAGAGACCACTGGCCGACCCCAGGCATGGCCAAGAGACAGAAACGTGGATGACCCCAGGCATTCTTATGAAAGACTCCTGGCCGACCTCAGGCATTCTAAAGATAGAGACACCTGGGCAACTCCAATCATTCTAATGGGAAAGATTCCTGGGTGACCCCAGACATTCTAATAATAACACCTGGGTGAACCCAGTCATTCTAATGGGAAAGACTTCTGGCCCACCCCAGGCATTCTAATAATAGACACACCTGGATGGCCCCAGGCATTCTAATGAGAAAGACTCCTGGCCGTCCTCAGGCATTGTAATGACAGAGACTAATGCGCAACCCCGGGCATTCTAATGATACACACACCTGGGTGAACTCATGCATTCTAACCAACCCCAGGCATTGTAATAATAGACACATTTAGGCGAACCCACGCATTGTAATGGGAGACTCCTGGCCGACCCCAGACATTCTAATAATAGAGAAAACTGGGTGACTCCAGACATTCTAATGAAATAGTCTCCTGGGTGACCCCAGGCATTCTAATGATAGGGACAGCTGGGTGACACCAGGCATTCTAATGAGAGAGATTCCTGGTTGACCCCAGGCATTCTAATGGGAGAGACCCATAGCAACCTTAGAAATTCTAATGATAGAGATGTGGGTGACCCCAGGCATTCTAATGGGACAGAGTTTTGGCTGATCCCAGGCATTCTAATAATAGAGACACCTGGGTAAACCCAGGCATTCTTATAATACAGACAGCTGGGCAACCCCAGGCATTCGAATGTGAGAGACTCCTTGCTGACTTCAGAAATTCTAATGATAGAGAAACCTGGGTGACCCCAGCTGTTCTAATGATAGAGACACCTGGGCAAACTGAGGCATTTTATTGCGGGAGACTTCTAGCCAACCCCAGGGATTGTAATGATAGAGACACCTGGGCAACTCCAGGCATTCAAGAGGGAGAGACTCCTGGCAGGTTTTAGGCAATGTAATGATAGAGGCACCTGGGTGACCACAGGCATTCTAATGAGAGAGCATCCTGGCTGACCCCAGGCAGTCTAATGATAGAGACACCCGGGCAATTTCAGGCATTCTAATAGGAGAGACTTTTACCCGAATTTAGACATTTTAATGATAGATACACCTGGGCAAGCCAGGCATTCTAGTGGGAGGGACTCCTGGCCGACCCAGGCATTCAAATGATAGAAACACATAGGCGACACCCGGCATTCTGTAAAGAGACTCCTGTCCGACTCCAGGCATTCTAATGATAAAGACATTTTGGCGACTCCAGGCATTGTAATAAAAGAGACTCCTGACAGACCCCAGGCATTCTAATAATAGAGACACCTGGGCGACCCCAGGCATTCTAATGGGAGAGACTCCTGACCAACCTCAGTCGTTCTATTGACACAGACACCTGGGCGACCCCAGGCATTTTAACGGGAGAGACTACTAGCCAACCACAGGCATTCTAATGACAGAGACACCTGGGGGGACCCCCAGTCTTCTAATGATAGGGACTTTTTGCAGACCCCAGCAATTCTAATAATAGAGACAACTGGGCAACCCCAGGCATTATTATGGGAGAAACTCCTGGCCGACCACAGGCATTATAATGATAGAGGCACCTGGGTGACCCCAGGAATTCTAATAAAAGAGATTTCTGGCTGACCCCAGGCATTCTAATAGAAGAACCAGCTGGAAGACCCAGGCATTCTAATAAGGGAAACTCTTGGCCAATTCCAGCCATTCTCATAAGAAAGACACCTGGGCGACCACAGGAATTCTAATGGGACAGACCCTGGCTGACCCCTGGCGTTCTAATGACAGAGAGATCTGGGTGAATTCAAGCATTCCAACGAAAGAGACTCATGGCATACCCCAGGCATTCTAATACTAGAAAAACCTTGGCAACCCCAGGCATTCTAATGGGAGAAACTTCTGGCCAACCTCAGGCTTTCTAATGATAGAGACACCTGGGCTACCCCAGACTTCCTAATGGTAGAGTTAGACACCTTGGTGACCTCAGACATTCTAATGGGAGAAACTCCTGGCTGACCCCAGGCATTCTAATGACATTTGGGCAACCCCAAGCATTCTAATAGGAGACACTCCTGGCTGACCACAGGCATTCTAATGATAGAGACATTTTGGCAACCCTAGGCATTTTAGTGATAGAGTCACCTAGGCGACCCTAGGCATTTTAATGATAGAGTCAACTAGGTGACCCCAGGCATTCTAATTGGAGATACTCCTGTCTGACCACAGGCATGATAGAGACACCTGGCCCCAAGCATTCTAATAACAGAGACAACTGGGCAACCTAAGGCATTCTAATTGGAGAAACTCCTGGCCAACCCCAGGCTTTCTGTTGAAAGAGACTCCAGGTTGAACCTAGGCATTTTGTTCATAGAGACACCTGGGCGAAAAGAGGCATTCTAAAAATAGAGATTCCTGGCACATCCCAGCCAGTCTAATAATAGAGATACCTGGTCGACCCAGGCATGCAAATGGGAGAGGCTCATGTTTGACCCCAGGCATTGTAGTAATAAAGGCACCTGGGTGACCCCAGGCATTCTAATGGGAGAGACTCCTGATCAACCCCAGGCATTCTACTCATAGAGAAACCTGTGCGGCCACAGGCATTCTAATGATAGAAACACCTGGGCAACCTCAGGCATTCTAATGGGAGAGACTTGTGTCCAACCCCAGGCATTGTAATTACAGAAACACATGGGTCACTTTAGGCATTCTAATGGGAGAGACACCCGGCCAACAACAGGCATTCTGATGACAGAGACACCTGGGTGAACCCAGGCATTCTAATGGGAGAGACTGCTGGCAGACAACAGACATTCTAAAATAGAGGTACTTGGGGGACCACAGGCATTCTAATGAAAGAGACCCCTGGCCGACCACAGGCATTCTAATGACAGAGACAGCTGGGGGGACCCAGGCATTCTAATGGGACAGACTCCTGGCTGACCCCAGGCATTCTAATAATAGACACCTGGGTGACCACAGACATTCTAATGAGAGAGGCTCCTGGCTGAACCCTGGCATTCTAATAATAGAGACACCTGGGCAACCACAGGCATTCTAATGGTAGAAACACCTGGGCGACCTCAGGCATTCTAATGGGAGAGACTCATGTTTGACCCCAGGCACTGTAATGACAAAGACACATGGGTGACTAAGCATTCTGATAAAAGAGACACCTGGCCGACCCAAGGCATTCTAATGATAAAGACACTGGGCATTCTAATGATAGAGACACCTTGGGGACCACAGGCATTCTAATGGGAGAGATTCCTGGTGGACCCCAGGCATTGTAATTATAGAAACACCTGGGCAACCGCTGACTTTCTAATGATAGACATACCTGTGCAATTCCAAATTTCTAATGGAAGAGACTTCTGGCTGACCCCAGGCATTCTAGTGACCAAACACCTGGGCACCTCAGGCATTCTAATGGGAAACACTGCAGTCAGATTCCAAACCTTGTAATGACAGATATTCCAGGGTGACCCCAGGCATTCTAATGGGAGACACTCCTGGTCCACCCAAGCCATTCTAATGATAAAGATACCTGTTGAACCCCAGGCATTGTAATGATAGAGACACCTGGGAGACACCAGGCTTTCTAATGGGAAAGACTCCTCCTGGTGGACCCCAGGCATTGTAATGATAAAGACACCTTTGTGACCCCAGACATTCTAATGGGAGAGACTCCCGGCGGGCCCCAGGCATTGTAATGATAGAGACTCCTGGGCCACCCCAGGCATTCTAACTGGAGATAACCCTCTCCGACACCAGGAAATCTAGTGATAGGACACCTAAGCCACCCTAGGCATTCTAATGATAGAGATGCCTGGGTGACCTTAGGCATTCTAATGGGAGAGACTCCTTTCTGACCCCTGGCATTCTAATGATAGAGAAACCTTGGCAACCCCAGGCATTCTAACGGGAAAGACTCCTGGCCGACCCTAGGCATTGTAAGGATAGAAACAGCTGGGCAAACCCAGGCATTCTAATGGGAGAGACTTTTGACCGACCCCAGGCATTATAAGCATAGAGACACCTGGACGACTTCAGGCATTCTAATTGGAAAGACATCTGGCTGGCCCCAGGCATTGTAATGATAAAGACACATGGGCGACAACAGGAATTCTAATTGGAAGAACTCCTGGTCAACTCCAAGTGTTGCAATGATAGAGACACATCAGTGACTACAGACATTCTAACTGAAGAGTCTCCTGGCTTACCTCAGGCATTCTAATGATAGAGACACCTGGGCATCCTACTCAGAAAAACCCCTGGCTGACCCCAGGCATTCTAATGATAGAGACACCAGTATGACACCTGGAATTCTAATGGAAGAGACTCCTGGCCAACCCTAGGCATTCTAATGATGGAGACACCTGGGTGACCCCAGGCATTCTAATGGGAGAAACTGGTCGACCCCAGGTATTCTAAAGATAGTCACTTGAGTGACCCCCAGCATTCTAATAGGAGAGACCATTGGCCAACCCCATCATTCTAAAGATAGAAACACTTGGGTGACCCCAAGCATTCTAATGATAGAGACACCTATGAGATTCTGAGAATTCTAATGGGAGAAAATCTGGCCGACTGTAGTAATTCTAATTATAGAGACACCTGGGCAACCCCAGGCATTCTACTGGGAGAGACTTGTGGCTGACCCCAGGCATTCTAATAATAGAGACACCTGGGCAACCCCAGTCATTCTAAACAGAGAGACTCCTGGCCGACCCCAGGCATTCTAATGATAGAGACACCTGGGCAACCACAGGCACTCTACTGGGAGAGACTCCTGGCCTACCCAAGGCATTCTAACTTTAAAGACATCTGGGCAACTTCAAGCATTCTAAAGGGAGAGACTTCTGGCCAACCCCAGACATTCTAATAATAGAGACACCTGGAAAACCCCAAACATTCTAATGGGAGAGACTCCTGGCTCACCACAGGCATTCTAATAATAGAGACACCTAGGCAACTTCAAGCATTCTTAAATGAGAAACTCCTGGCACATCCCAGGCATTCTAATGATAGTGACACCTCGGTTACCCCAGGTATTATAATAGCAGAGACTACTGGCTGATCCCAGGAATTTTAATGATGGAGACACCTCTGTGATTCCAGGCATTTTAATGGGAGAGATTCCTAGTTGACTCCAGGCATGGTAGTGATAGAGACACCTGTGTGACCCCAGGCATTCTAATTATACAGACAGTTGGGTGAACCCAGGCATTCTAAAGGGAGAGACTCCTGGATGACCCCTGGCATTCTATTGATAGAGACATCTGGGAGACTCCAGGCATTCTAATGGGAGAGACACATGGCCAACCACAGGCATTCTAATTATAGAGACACCCGGGCGACTTTAGGCATTCTAATGTGAGAGACTCCTGACCAACCCCAGGCATTCTAATTATAGAGACAAATGGGTGACGCCAGGCATTCTTATGGAACAGACTTCTGGCCAACCCAAGACATTCTAATGATAGAGACACCTGGGTGACTTCAGGCATTCAAATGATAGAGACACTTGGACAACCCCAGGCGTTCTAATGGGAGAGACTCCTGGCCAAACTCAAGCATTATGACAGAGATACCTAGGTGACCCAAGATATTTTACTGGAAAGACTCATGGCCAACCCCAGGCATTCTAATATTAGAGACACCTGAGTGACCCCAGGCATTTTTATTAGACTCTTATTTGACCCCATGCATTCTAATAATAGAGACACCCGGGTTACCCCAGGCATTCTAATGGGAGAGACTCCGGGCCTATCTAAGGCAATCTAATGATAGAGACACCTTGAAGACTTCAGACATTCTAATGGGAGAGACTCCTGGCTGACCCTAGGTATTTTAATAATACAGGCATCTGGGAGAACCCATGCATTCTAAAGGGAGAGACTCCTGGCTGACCTCAAACATTCTAATGATAGAGACACCTTTTTGACCCCAGGCATTCTAAAGTTAGACACACCTGGGAGATCACATGCTTTCTAATTGGATAGACTTCTGGCTGATTCCAGGCATTCTAACGGTAGAGACAGCTTGGCGACCCCAGGCATTATCATGGCAGTGACTCCTTGCTGACCGCAGGCATTCAAATAATAGACACCTGGGTGACCACAGATATTCTAATGGGAGAGACTCGTGGCTGACCCCAGGCTTTCTAATTATTAAGAAACCTGTGGGACTCCAGGCATTATTATGATAGAGACACCTAAGCGACCCCGGGCATTCTAATTACAGAGACACCTGGGAGGCCTCAGGCATTCTAATGGGAGATACCCCTGGTTGACCCCAGGCATTTGAAAGATAAAGACCCTTAGGTGACTCCAGAATATCTAATGATAGAGACTCCTGAACAACCCAAGGAAATCTAATGAAAGAGACTCCTTGTTAACCCCAGGCATTTTTATGTTAGAGACATCTGGTGACCTCAAGCATTTTAATGGGAGAGATTCCTAGCTGACCCCAAGCATTGTAATGATAGAGAAATCTGGGCAACCCCAGGCATTGTAATGGGAAAGACTCCTGGCCAACCTCAGGCATTCTCATGAGAGAGACTCATGGGCGACCCCAGGCATTCTAATGGGAGAGAATCTTGGCTGACCCCAGGCATTGTAATGATAAAGACATCTGGGCAACACCAGGCATTTCAATGGAAAAGACTCCTGGGAGACCTCAGGCATTATAATGATAGAGATACCTGGGTGATTTTAGACATTCTAATGGGAGAGACTCCTGGCCAACCCCAGGCATTCTAATGATAGAGACACCTTGGTGACCCCAGGCATTTTAATGGGAGAGACTCCTGGCCGACCACAGGCATTCTAATGATAGAGACAACTGGGCGATCCCAAGCATTCTAATGAAAGACACTCTAGGCTGACACCTGGCATCGTAATGATAAAGAAACCAGGGACATTCCAGGCATACTAATGACAGAAACTTCCAGATGACCCTAGTTTTTCTAATGATAAAGACACGTCGGCGACCTCAGGCATTCCAATATAAAAGACTCCTGGCCGGCCCCAGACATTCTAATGGTAGAGATAACTGGGCAACCCCAGGCATTCTACTGGGAGAGAATCTCAGCCAGCCCCAGATATTCTAATGATAGACACACCTTGGTGACTTCAGGCATTCTAATGGGAGAGACTCCTGGTTAACCCCAGGAATTCTAATAATAGAGACACCAGGACGACCCCAGGCCTTCTAATGAAAGAGACTCCTGCCCAAACCCAGACATTCTAACGATAAAGACACCTGAGCAACCCCAGCCATTCTAATGATAGAGACACCTGGGCAAACCCAGCTATTTTAATGGGAGAGAATCCTTCCCCATTCCGGTATTCTAATGATAGAGACACCTGGGCAGCCAATGGCATTCTAATGGGATAGACTCCTGGACTACCTCAGGCATTTTAATGATAAAGACAGCTGTGCCACACAAGGCATTCTAATGATGGAGACACCTAGACGAACCCACACATTCTAACTGGAGAGACTCCTGGTGGAATCCAGGCATTCTAATGATAGAAACACTTGGGCCACCCCAGGCATTCTAATGGGAATGTTTCCTGGCTGATCCAAGGAATTGTAATAATAGAGACAAGTGGGTGACCCAAGGCATAGTAATGGAAGAGACTCTTGGCTAACTCCAGACATTCTAATAATAGAGACACCTGGAGGAACCCAGGAATTCTAATGGAAGAGACTCCTGGCTGACCCCAGGCATTGTAATAATAGGGACACCTGGGCGACCCCTTGCATTTTAATGAGAGAATCCCAACCGACCCCAGCCATTCTAATGATAGAGACACATGGGTGACCCCAGGAATTGTAAGGGGAGGACTCCTGGCTGACCCCAGGCATTCTCATGATGGAGACACTAGGGAGACCCCAGGCACTCTAATAAAAGAGACTCCTGCCCGATCTCAGGCATTCTAATAGGAGAGACCCTAGGCCGGCCACTAGCATTCTAATGATATAGAAACCTGGGCTCTTTCAGGCATTCTGATGATAGAGACACGTGTGCAACATCAGGCATTCTAATGGGAGAGACTCCTGACCAATACCATGCATTCTAATGATAGAGACGACTTGGTACCCCAGGTATTCTAACAAGATGGACTCCTGGCCAACACTAGTCTTTCTAATACCTGGGCAACCCCAGGCAACCCCAGGCATTCTAATGGTTGAGATTCCTGGACAAACCCAGGCATTCTAATGACAGAGACAGCTGGTCATCTCAGGCATTCTAATGGAGAGACTTCTGGCCCACCCCAGGCATTGTAATGATAGAGACAACTGGGAGACCCCAGGCATTCTACTGATAGAAACACCAGGGTGACAGCATGCATTCTAATGGGAGAGACTCCAACCAACCCCAGGCATTCTAATTATAGAGACATTTGGGCGACCCCAAGCATTCTAAGGGGAGAGACCCCCGGCTGACCCTAGGCATTCTCATGAGAAAGACACCTGGGTGACCTCAGACAATCTAATGGGAGAGACTCCTGGGCGACCTTAGGCATTGTAATAATAGAGACCCCTGGATGACTGCAGGCATTCTAATGGAAGAGACTCCTGGCCGACCCTAGGCATTCTAATAATAGATAGAGCTGGACGACTTCAGGCATTCGAATGGGAGAGACTTCTGGCTGACCATAGGCATTATAATGGTAGAGACAAGTGGGCTACTTTAGGCATTTTAATGAGAGGGACCCTTGGCCAACCCCAGGCATTCTAATGATAGAGACACCAACGAGACTCTAGGCATTCTAAAGGGAGAGAATACTGGGCAACCTTAGTAATTCTAATGAGACACCTGGGCAACCTCAGGCATTATAATGTGAAAAACTCCAGACAAACCACAGGCATTCTAATAATAGAGACACCTGGGTGACCCCATGCATTCTAATGGGAGAGACTTTCGGCCAACCCCAGGAATTCTAATGATAGAGACAAATGGGTGACCCCAGGCATTCTAATGATAGATACACTTAAGCAGCTCGTGGCATACTAATGGGAGAGACACCTACCTGACCCCAGGCAATCTAATTACAGAGACACCTGGGCAACGCCAGGCATTCTAATGAAAGAAACTTCTGGTTGACCTCATGCATTCTAATGATACAGACAACTGAGCGATCCCAGGCTTTCTAATGGGAGAGATTCCTGGCCAACCCCAGTCATTCTAATGATAGAGAAACCTGGGTGACCCCAGGCATTCTAATGGAAGAGATTTCTGGCCGACCTCAGGCATTCTAAAAATAAAGAAAGCTTGGTGACCCCAGGTATTCTAATGATAGAGACAACTGGGTGACACCAGGCACTCTAATAATAAAGACACCTGGGCGACCATAGGCGTTCTAATGATTAAGACAGCTGGGCAACCTCAGGCCTTCTAATGGAGAGACTCCTGGCTGACCCCAGGCATTCTAATTTGAGAGACTGCAGGCAGACCCCAGACATTGTATTGATAGAGAAACCTGGGTGACCACAGGCATTCTAATGATAGAGACCACTGCGTACCCCAGGCATTCTAATGATAGAGATACCTGGTCCACCACAGACATTCTAATGGGAGATGCCCCTGGCCAATCCTAGGCATTGTAATGATAGAGACAACTGGGCAACCCCAGGCATTCTAATGGGGGAGACTCCTGGCCAACTTTAGGCATTCTAGCAATAGAGACACCTGAGTGAGCCCAGGCATTCTAATGGAATAGATTTTTGGCTGACCCCATGTATTCTAATGATAGAGACACCTGGGTGACCCCAGGTATTCTAATGGGAGAGACTCCTGCTGACCCAGGCATTCTAATGATAGAGAGACCTGGGCAACCCCGGGCATTCTATTGGGAGAGACCTCAGGCCAACCCCAGGCATTCTAATTAAAGGGACAACTGGGCGACCCCAGGCATTCTAATGATAGAGACACCTGATGGATTACAGACATTCTAATAGGAGAGACTCCTTGCCGACCCCAGATACTGTAATGACAGATGTCGGGGTGATCAGACTCAACACCAGGTCATGGGGGTGATGAAGTCCGGCAGAGTCAAAGGAATGAGAAAAGACTGTTTGAGAAAGAAAGTGGGTCTAGGGGGCCAATGCTAGTATGGAGGCTGTGAGGCCCCGAGCTCTGGAAGCCCAGACTATTTATTGGTGATCAAGCAAAGAAACGGGTGATGAGAATGTGGGGGTCAAAAGGGCAAGCACATGATCTACAGCTGTGATGGTTTAGCATTTCCTTTGAAGCATATGGGACATATTCTGCTACTTGAGATAATGGGGAGCATGTTCTTCTAGTTTAAGCTAGAAGCAAGGAGCCAGCAAGTCTAGACTCATTCCAGAGGCCACGAGAGGTTTTATGCTGTGAGCCCTGGACATCATGTCAGACATGCAAGCCCTGCCTCAGCTTTTTTCCCAACACTCAGCTTTTTCCCAACAGAAAGAGACATGTGGGAGACCCCAAGCATTCTAATGGGAGAGACTCCAGGCCAAACCCAGGCATTCTAATAATAGAGACTTTTAGGTTACCCCAGGCATTCTAATGATAGAGACACTGGAATGATTTCAATCATTATAATGGGAGAGACTCGTGGATGATTCCAGGCATTGTAATGACAGAGACACCTGGGTGACTACAGAAATTCTAATGGGAGAGACTCCTGGCTGACCTCAGGCATTGTAATGATAGAGACACCTGGGCGACCCCAGGCATTCTAATGAGAGAGACTCGTGGCTGACCCTTGGTATTCTTATGATAGAGACAACTGGGCGACCCCAGGCATTCTAATGGAAGAGACTCCTGGCTGACCACAGGCACTCTAATGATAAAAACACCTGAGCGACCCCAGGCACTATAATAATAGGAACACTTGGGCCACCCCAGGCACTCTAATTGGAGAGACTCATGGCCAACCCCAGGCATTGTAATGATAGAGACAGCTGGGCGACCTCAAGCATTCTAACCAGAGAGACACCTGGCCAACCCCAGACATTCTAATGATAGTAACAACTTCTCGACCCCAGGCATTCTAATGGAGAGATTCCTGGCAGACCCCAGGCATTGTAATGATAGAGACCCCTCTTCAACCCTAGGCATTCTAATGGGAGAGACTCTTGGCTGACCCCAGGCATTCTAATGGTAGAGACACCTGGACAACCCCAGCCATGCTAATGGGAGATACTCGTGGCTGATTCCAGGCATTGTAATGATAGACACCTGGGCAACCACCAGCTTTCTATGGGAGAGACTCCTGGCCAACCCCAGGCATTCTAATGATAGAGATATCTGGGCTACCCCAGGAATTTTAAAGATAGAGACACGTGACCAACCCCAGGTGTTCTTACAGGAAAGACTCCTGGCTGACCTCAGGCATTCTAATGATAAAGACACTTGGCGACCTCCTGCATTCTAAGGACAGAGACATCTAGCCCACCCCCAGGCATTCTAATGGGAGAAACTCCTGGCCGACCCCAGGCATTCTAATGATAGAGGCTTTTGGCCAACTCCAAGCATTCTAATGGTAAAGACAACTGTGTGACCTCAGGCATTCTAAGGATAGAGCCACCTGGCTGACTTCTGGCATTGTAATGGGACTCCTGGCCAACACCAGTCATTCTAATGATAGAGACACATGGGTGACCTCAGGCATTCTAAGGATAGAGAAACCTGGCCGACCACAGGCATTGTAACCAGAGAGAATTTTGGCCAACCTGAGACATTCTAATTATAGAGACTCCTGGGAATCCTCAGGCATTCTAATGATAGAGACACCTGGGCAACCTCAGGCATTCTATAAAGACACCTGGCTGACCCTAGGAATTCTAACAGGAGAGACACCTGGCTGACCCCAGGCATTCTAATCAGAGAGACACCTTGGCGACCTCAGGCATTGGAAGGATAGAGACACCTGGTCGAATTCAAGCATTCTAAAGGGAGAGACTCCTGGCTTGACCCCAGGCATTCTAATGATAGAGACTCATAGCTGAGCCCAGGCATTCTAATAATGGAGACACCTTGGCCACCTCAGTCATTCTAAGGATGGAGACACCTCGGCGACCTCAGGCATTCTAAAAATAGAGACACCTGGCCAACACCAGGCATTCTAACAGGAGAGACTCCTGGCCGACCCCAAGCATTCTAATGATAGAGACTCCTGGCCAACCACAGGCATTCTAATTATAGACACACCTGGGCAAACTCAGGCATTCTAACGATAGACACCTAGCCGACAACAGGCATTCTAACGGGAGAGATTTCTGGCCCTCCTCAGTCATCCTAATGATAAGACACCTTGGTGACCTCAGGCATTCTAAGGATAGAGAAACCTGGGTGACCCCAGGCATTCTAACCAGAGAGACTCCTATTTGGCCAAACAGATGTCTGGCCATCCCCAGGCATTCTAATGGGAGAGATGCCTGGCCAGCCTCATGGATTCTAATGATGGAGGCTTCTGGCCAATGCCAGGCATTCTAAGGACAGAGACATCTGGCCGACCTCAAGCATTCTAACTGAAGAGACTCCTGGCTGACCCCAGGCATTCTAATGATAGTCACCTGGGTGAACTCAGGCATTCTAATGAGAGAGACTCCTGGTTGAGTACAGGAATTTTAATAATAGAGATGCCTGGGTGACCCCAGGCATTCTAATGGGAGAGACTCCTTGCCGACCCCAGGCATTCTAATGATAGGGACATCTTAGCGACCACAGGCATTTTGTTGGGAGAGACTCCTTGCCGACTGCAGGCATTCTAATGATAGAGACACCTAAGCGACCCCAGGCATTCTAATGATAGACACACCTGGGCAACTCCAGGCATTCTAATGGGAGAGACTCCTGGCTGACCCCAGGCATTCTAATGATAGAGACAACTGGGTGACCCCAGGCATTCTAATGAAAAAGACACCTGGGCAATTCCAGGCATTCTAATGATAGAGACACCTGGGCAACCCCATGCATTCTAATTTGAGAGACTCCTAGCCGACTCCAGGCATTATAATGATGGAGACACCTGGGAGACCCTAGACATTCTAATAAGAAAAACTCCTGGCCAATTCCAGGCATTCTAATAATAGAGACATCGGGTGATCCCAGGCATTCAAATTGGAGACAGACTCTGGGCCGACCCCAGGCATTCTAATGATAGAGACACCTTAGCGACCCTAAATATTCTAATGAGAGAGAACCCTGGCTGACCACAGGCATTCTAATAATAGAGACAACTGGGCAACACTTGACATTCTAATAATAGAGGCTCCTGGATGACCCCAGGCATTTTAAAGGGAGAGACTATTGGCTGACCCCAGGCATTTAAATGATAGAGACACCTGGGCAACCTCAGGCATTCTAATGGAAAAATCTTTTGTCTGAATGCAGGCATTCTAATGATAGAGACACCTGGATGACCCCGGGCATTCTAATTATAGAGACACCTGGGCAACCCCAGGCATTCTAATGGGAGAGACTCCTGGCTGACCCCAGGCATTGTAATGATAGAAACACCTGGACAACCCCAAGTATTCTAATGAGACAGACTCCTGGCCAACCCAGGCTTTCTAATGATAGAGGCACCTGGGTGAACCCAGTATTTCTAATGATAGAGACATTTTGGCAACCACAGGCTCTCTAATGGGGGAGATTCCTGGCCACCTGCAGGCATTCTAATGATAGAGACACCTGGGCAAGCCCAGGCATTTTAATAAAAGAGACTCCTGTCCAACCCCAGGCATTGTAATGATAGAGACACCTGGGGGACCCCAGGCAGTTTAATGGGAGACACTCCTCATCGACACTAGGCTTTCTAATGATAGAGACACCTGGGTGACCTCAGCATTCTAATAGGAGAGACTCCTGGACAAATCCAACCATTCTAATGATAGAGACACTTCTGCGACTACAGTCATTCTAACAGGGGAGACCCCTGGCCAACCCCAGGCATTCTAATTATAGAGACATCTGGAAGACCCCAGGCATTCTAAAAATAGACACCTGGGAGACCCCAGGTATTCTAATGGGAGAGACTACTGGTCTACCCCAGGCATTTTAATGGTAGAGACACCTGGGCGACCTTAGGCATTCCAATGGGAGAAACATTTGGCCAACCCCAGGCATTCTAATGAGCGAGACACCTGGGCAACTTCAGACAGTCTAATGATAGAGACACCTGGGTGGCCCCAGGCATTCTAATGGGAGAGACTCCTGGCCGACTTCAGGCATTCCAATGATGGAGACAGCATGGCAACCTCAGGCATTCTAATGGAAGAGACCCATGGCCAGCCTTAGGCATTCTAATAATGGAGTCACTTGGGTGACCCCAGGCATATTAATGATAGAGACACCTGGGCAACCCCAGGCATTCTAAAAAGAGACTCCTGGCTGACCCCAGGCATTCACATGATAGAGACACCTGGGCGACCCCAGGCATTCTAATGATGGAGACACCTGGGAGACCCCAGGCATTCTAATGGGAGAGAATCTCTTCTGACCTGTGACATGGCAATAATAGAGACACCTGGGCGACCCCAGGCATTTTTTTTTTTTTTTTGAGATGGAATCTGGCTCTGTTGCCCAGGCTGGAGTGCAGTGGCACATCTCTGCTCACTGCAAGCTCCACCTTCCAGGTTCACGCCATTCTCCTGCCTCAGCCTCCCATGTAGCTGGGACTACAGGTGCTGCCACCATGCCCAGGTAATTTTTTTTGTGTGTTTTGTTTTGTTTTGTTTTTGGGACGGAGTCTTGCTCTGTTGCCCAGGCTGGAGTGCAATGGCGCGATCTTGGCTCACTGCAAGCTCCACCTCCCAGGTTCATGCCATTCTCCTGCCTCAGCCTCCCACGTAACTGGGATTACAGGCGCCTGCCACCACACCCGGCTAATTTTTTTGTATTTTTAGTAGAGACGGGGATTCACCATGTTAGCCAGGATGGTCTCGATCTCCTGACCTCATGATCCGCCCGCCTCAGCCTCCCAAAGTGGTGGGATTACAGGCGTGAGCCACCACACCTGGCCAATATTTTGTATTTTTTTTTTAGCAGAGATGGGGTTTCACTGTGTTAGCCAGGCTGGTCTCGATCTCCTGACCTCGTGATCTGCCCGCCTCACCTCCCAAAGTGCTGGGATTACAGGCGTGAGCCACCCCGCCCAGCTGACCCCAGGCATTCTAACAGGAGATACTCCTGGCCGACCCCAGACATTCTAATGATATATACTTTTGGCTGACCCCCGGCATTCTAATGATATAGACACCTGGCTTACCTCCGGCATTCTAAGAATAGAGACACCTGGCTGACCCCAAGCATTCTAACTGAAGAGATTCCTGGTCAACTTCAGACATTCTAATGATAGGGACATCTGGCAACCTCAGGCATTCTAAGGATGGCAACACCTGGCCGACCCCAGGCATTCTAACAATAGAAACGCCTCGGCAACATCAGACATTCTAAAGATAGAGACAACTGGCATTCTAACAAGAGAGACTCCTGGCCAAATTCAGACATTCTAATGATATAGACCCTAATGATATATCTAATGATATAACAGGAGAGACTCCTGACCAACCCCAGGCATTCTAATGATAGAAACACCTCAGCGACATCAGACATTCTAAAGGTAGAGACAACTGGCATTCCAACAAGAGAGACTCCTGGCCAAATTCAGACATTCTAATGATATAGACCCCTGGCTGACCCCAGGCATTCTAATGACTGAGATTCCTGGCCTACCCCATGCATTCTAATGGCAGACACGCCTGGGTGACCTCAGGCATTTTAAGGATAGAGATACCTGGCCAACCCCAGGCATTCAAATGAGAGAAACTCCCGGCTGACCTTAGCCATTCTATGGCTAAGATGTCATGGTAATGACATCTGGGCAACATCAGGCATTCTAAGGGTATAGACAGCTGGCCAACCCTGGGCATTCTAATGATGAAGACTTCAGTCCAACCTCAGGCATTCTAATGATAGAGACATCTGTGCAACCTCAGGCATTCTAAGGGTAGAGACACCTGGCCAACCCCAGGCATTCTGAAGAGAGAGACTCCAGGCTGACCTCAGGCATTCTACTGATAGAGATGCTTCGTGACCTCAGGCATTCTAAGAATAGAGACACCTGGTTGACCTCAGACATTCTAACAGGAGAGACTCCTGGCTGACCCCAGGCATTCTAATGATAGAGACTCTTGGCTGATTCCAGGCATTCTAAAGATAGACACACCTGGCCGGCCCCAGGCATTGTAATGGTAGAGACTCATGGCTGACACCAGGCATTCTAATGATAGAGACACCTGGGCGACCTCAGGCATTCTAAGGGTAGAGACACCTGGCCGACCCCAGGCATCCTATTGGGAGAGACTCCTAGCCAACCCCAGGCATTGTAATGATAGAGACTGCTGGCCAACTCAAGACACTCTAGTTATAAAGACACCTGGGTGGCCTCAGGCATTCTAAGGATGGAGACACCTGGCTGACCCCAGGCACTCTATCCAGAGACTCTAGGCCATCCCCAGACATTCTAATGATGGAGATACCTGGGTGACCTCAGGCATTCTAAAAATAGGGACACCTGGCCGACCCCAGTAATTCTAATGGGAGAGATTCCTGGCCAACCACAGGCATTCTAGTGATAGATACTCCTGGCCAACCACAGGCATTCTAGTGATAGATACTCCTGGCCAGCCCCAGGCATTGTAATGATAAAGACACCTGGGTGACCTCAGGCATTCTAAGAATAGTGACACCTGGCCCAATCCAGGCATTCTAATGGGAGATACTCCTTGCCAACCACAGGCATTCTAATGATAGAGACACCTGGCTGACTCCAGGCATCCTAACGGGAGAGACTCCTGGCCGACCCCAGGCATTCTAATGGGAGAGACTCCTGGCTGACCCCAGGCATTCTAATAATAGAGATTCCTGGCCCACCCCAGACATTCTAATGATAGAGACACCTGGGTGACCTCAGGCATTCAAAGGATAGAGACACCTGGCTGACCTAGGCATTCTAACAGGAGAGACTTCTGGCCTACCCCAGGCATTCTAATGATAGAGACTTCTGGCTGACCCCAGGCATTCTAATGATAGAGACACCTGGGCAACCTCAGGTATTCTAAGGATGGAGACACCTGGCCAATTCCAGGCATTCTAAAGAGACAGACTTTTGGCTGAACTCAGGAATTCTAATGAGAGAGATACCTGGTCAAACTTAGTCATTCTAAAAACAGAGACATCTGGCCCACCCCAGGCATTTCAACAGGAGAGACTCCTGGCCTATCCCAGGCATTCTAATGATAAAGACTCCTGGCTGACCCCAGGCATTTTAATCATAGAGACACCTGGGCAACCTCAGGCATTCTAAGGATAGAGACACCTAACCAACCCCAGGCATTTTAACAGGAGAGACTCCTGGCCGACCCCAGGCATTCTAATGATAAAGATTCCTGATCAACCACAGGCATTATTATTATAGAGACACCTGGGGGACCTCAGGCATTCTAAGGATACAGACATCTGGCCGGCCCCAGGCATTCTAATGATAAAGATTCCTGGCCAACCACAGGCATTATTAGTATAGAGACACCTGGGGGACCTCAGGCATTCTAAGGATACAGACAGCTGGCCGACCCCATGCATTCTAATGGGAGAGACTCCTGGCTGACCTCAGGCATTCTAATGATAGAGACACCTGGGCAACCTCAGGCATTCTAAGGATAGAGACAACTTGGTGGCCTCAGGCATTCTAAGGATAGACACACATGGCCGGCCCCATGCATGTTAACAGGAGAGACTAGTGGTTGGACCTAGGCTTTCTGATTTTAGAGACACCTGGGGGACCTCAGGCATTCTAAGGATAAAGACACCTGGCTGACCCCAGGCATTCTAACGGGAGAGACCCCTGGCAGACTCCAGGCATTCTAATGATAGAGACACCTGGGCAACCTCAGACATTCTAAGGATAGAGACACCTGGCTGACTCTAGGTATTCTAACAGGAAAGACTCCTGGCTGACCCCAGGCATTCTAATGATAGAGACACCTGCATGACCTCAGGCATTCTATGGATAGAGATACCTGGCCAACCCCGGTGACTCCACAGTGACTCCTTGGCCCCTGCAATGCCACCATCCAAGGACAGAGGTGGTGCATGTGGAAGCAGTGTGGGGGACCCCAATGAACCCCTAATTTCACCTACCCTGCCCCCAGGTTAGCCCAAGCCCAAACACAGATATAGCCAAGGTTCAGTGGAGTGGGCATGACACAACCCCACATCTCACCTTCTAGGGACCAGTGGCTACTGGTGGGCACAGACTCCTCAAGCTCTGATGCAGCAGGTGCCACCCAGCACCCCAGCTTATGTCCAGCAAGGCAGCAGAAGCAAAAGCACAACTAAACTCAAAAAATTGGACATGGGAAACAGGCACAAGAAGTGACACCCACAGGTCAAAGGTCACCAGAAGCACCAGCACTTTACCACTGCACAAAACCTCAACAGGCACAGACGACACCACAGCACTGGCAACAGACAGACGCAGGAAGGGCAGAGGAGTAAGTCAGTTTTGGTACAGTTGCAAAAGATATCCAAGAGCATGGCCTTCTGGTTGGCTCACAGCTTGGCTTTTTTTTTTTTTTTTTGTCTTTTTTAAACTAAGTTTTATAAATAATGTCTGATAACTCTGTGTATGTACAAACTAAACTCCAACAGCCACAAAGAATTTTCTGTAAGTTTACAAGAAAGGGACTTTTTTGGGATTGTTTTTCTTTTTTTTTAACTAGCAAAGTTTCTATTATACTTTCTTCCCTTTTCCATTTATATGGTTAAATCGTCTTCTTGCCTGTTTTTTTCTAAAAGACAGTTTTATAAACACTCTGCAGCTCTTTTTTTCTTTAACATTTAAACATATAATTAATTTAATAACTTCGTAAAAGGGGTTTCTGTCTTTTAAATAAAAGGCTATGTAACCACACAAATAGGTCATGTAAACAGTGTCACGGGATCCATCGCAGGGCACATTGGGCTCACCCTCACATAAGCGCACAACCTACAATTTGGTCTTGTTTAGTACAATGGGACAGGCTTGAGCGGACAGCCCCTGGTCCTAGCTGCATGCCCCCAGCACCACTGTGCCCAGGCTGGTGGTCCATCCATCAGGGCCCTCAAAGCTACCCTACTCTCAAAGTAAAGCTGAGCTGCCCTCCCGGGGCTAAGGAAAGTGAAACTCTCCCCATTCTCTAGCACTTGCTGTTCTTGTTTTTTGAAGGCTATAGTTGTCATTCATTTCGTTACTTTTCCAGAGTGTTTTTGCGGAGACCGTATTACTTGTATGTACTTGCTGGTGTCTGTATCTGTGGCTCGTGTTTATTGAGTGTTTTGACAGCAATTTGCTTGAATGCCAGGAGCTAAGAAAGAAAGAAAAAAAGAAGAAGAAACAAAATCTCGCCTCTTCCTCTTTCTGTGACTGGCTCTGTGCTGGGGCATTCCTTTAACGTGTCCAGGCTGTCAACAACTGCTCCAGTCTTTGCTTTCTGTTGAACTGTGCCTGGTGATCAGCCAGTGCTGAAAATAAGGCTTTCTTTAGGTCTTTAGGTCTTATCAGACAATGTCCCCTGGCTCCAGGCATGCATAGGGCTTTCTCAATTTCCCAGTATACCTGGGTGCTTTTGAATACCCTAATTTCTAAAAGAAATGTTCACTCCTGTTTCTCCCCCTGAGCTGTATATATGGTCTATTGTAGATGTCAATACATACAATATTGTAATGTATTCTTCCAGGTAGCAGCAGACTTTTTATTTATTTAACATCTTCTTTGTTCTTTTTTTTTTTTCAGATGGAGTCTTGCTCTGTCCTCTAGGCTGGAGTGCAGTGGCAAGATCTCAGCTCACTACAACCTCTGCCTCCTGGGTTCATGCAATTCTCATGCCTCACCCTTCCAAGTAGCTGGGACTACACCTGTGTACCAACGTGCCTGGCTAATTTTTGTACTTTTAGTAGAGACAGGGTTTTGCCATGTTGGTCAGGCTGGTCTTGAGCTCCTGACCTCAAGTAATCCACCCACCTCAGCCTCCCAAAGTACTGAGATTACATGCCTGAGCCACCATGCCCAGCCTTACTTAACACTTCCAAGCAATTCCTGCCAGATTTCCACATTGACTGGGTTCTGACTTGGACAAAACAGATGAGAGCCTTGTTTCAGAACTTTACGTAGCCCCCAGATAGATTGGAACATAGAAACATGATAATTTGCAAATAAGATCTCCACTCCCTCTGGAACGTGTGACCAGGGCCCCACACTGGGAACTCAGGTTGTTGTCTAAAAGACTGGCACCAAGCCAAGGAGAGGTTGGAGCAAGGACAAGTAAACTATCCACCAGGCTTTCCTTCCATTTTTCACTGTTGTTTATTCTTCTTTACCTGGTTCCTGTAAACCCTTGACAGTTTTGAGGGGGGTGGAGCCAAGATGACCAAATAGGAACAGCTCCAGTCCACAGCTCCCAGCATGAGCGACGCAGAAGATGGGTGATTTCTGCATTTCCATCTGAGGTACTGGGTTCATCTCACTGGGGAGTGTTGGAAAGTGGGTGCAGAACAGTGGGTGCAGCGCACCGAGCATGAGCCAAAGCAGGGCGAGGCATCCCCTCACCCGGGAAGTGCAAGGGGTCAGGGAATTCCCTTTCCTAGTCAAAGAAAGGGGTGACAGACGGCACCTGGAAAATCGGGTCACTCCCACCCTAATACTGCGCTTTTCCAATGGTCTTAGAAAATGGCACACCAGGAGATTATGTCCTGCACCTGGCTTGGAGGGTCCGACACCCACAGAGCCTTGCTCATTGCTAGCACAGCAGTCTGAGATCAAACGGCAAGGTGGCAGTGAGGCTGGGGGAGGGGCGCCCGCCATTGCCAAGGCTTGATTAGGTAAACAAAGCAGCCTGGAAGCTCGAACTGGGTGGAGCCCACCACAGCTCAAGGAGGCCTGCCTGCCTCTGTACACTCCACCTCTGGGGGCAGGGCATAGCCAAACAAAAGGCAGCAAAAACCTCTGCAGACTTAAATGTCCCTGTCTGACAGCTTTGAAGAGAGTAGCAATTCTCCCAGCATGCAGCTGGAGAACTGAGAATGGACAGACTGCCTCCTCAAGTGGGTCCCTGACCCCCAAGTAGCCTAACTGGGAGGCACTCCCCAGTAGGGGCAGACTGACATCTCACACGGCCGGGTACTCCTCTGGGACAAAACATCCAGAGGAACCATCAGGCAGCAACACTTGCTGTTCACCAATATCCGCTGTTCTGCAGCCTCTGCTGCTGATACCCAGGCAAACAGGGTCTGGACTGGACCTCCGGCAAACTCCAACAGACCTGCAGCTGAGGGTCCTGACTGTTAGAAGGAAAACTAACAAACAGAAAGGACATCCACACCAAAACCCATCTGTACGTCACCATTATCAAAGACCAAAGGTAGATAAAACTACAAAGATGGGGAAAAAACAGCAGAAAAACTGGAAACTCTAAAAAGCAGAGTGCCTCTCCTCCTCCAAAGGAACACAGCTCCTCACCAGCAACAGAACAAAGCTGGATGGAGAATGACTTTGATGAGGTGAGAGAAGAAGGCTTCAGACAATCAAACCACACCAACCTAAATGAGGAAGTTCGAACCAATGGCAAAGAAGTTAAAAACCTTGAAAAAAAATTAGACGAATGGCTAACTAGAATAACCAATGCAGAGAAGTCCTTAAAGGACCTGATGGAGCTGAAAACCATGGCAGGAGAACTACATAATGAATGCGCAAGCCTCAGTAGCCAATTTGATCAACTGGAAGAAAGGGTATCAGTGATGGAAGATCAAATGAATGAAATGAAGCAAGAAGAGAAGTTTAGAGAAAAAAGAATAAAAAGAAACGAACAAAGCCTCCAAGAAACATGGGACTATGTGAAAAGACCAAATCTACGTCTGATTGGTGTACCTGAAAGTGACGGGGAGAATGGAACCAAGTTGGAAAACACTCTACAGGATATTATCCAGGAGAACTTCCCCAACCTAGCAAGGCAGGCCAACATTCAGATTCAGGAAATACAGAGAATGCCACAAAGATACTCCTCGAGAACAGCAACTCCAAGACACATAATTGTCAGATTCACCAAAGTTGAAATGAAGGAAAAAATGTTAAGGGCAGCCAGAGAGAAAGGTCGGGTTACCCACAAAGGGAAGCCCATCAGACTAACAGCTGATCTCTCGGCAGAAACTCTACAAGCCAGAAGACAGTGGGGGCCACTATTCAACATTCTTAAAGAAAAGAATTTTCCACCCAGAATTTCATATCCAGCCAAACTAAGCTTCATAAGTGAAGGAGAAATAAAATCCTTTACAGACAAGCAAATGCTGAGAGATTTTGTCACCACCAGGCCTGCCTTACAAGAGCTCCTGAAGGAAGCACTAAACATGGAAAGGAACAACTGGTACCAGCCACTGCAAAAACATGCCAAATTGTAAAGACCATCGAGGCTAGGAAGAAACTGCATCAGCTAACGAGCAAAATAACAAGCTGACATCATAATGACAGGATCAAATTCACACATAACAATATTAACCTTAAATGTAAATGGGCTAAATGCTCCAATTAAAAGACACAGACTGGCAAATTGGATAAAGAGTCAAGACCCATCAGTGTGCTGTATTCAGGAAACCCATCTCACAGGCAGAGACACACATAGGCTCAAAATAAAGGGATGGAGGAAGATCTACCAAGCAAATGGAAAACAAAAAAAGGTAGGGGTTGCATTCCTAGTCTCCGATAAAACAGACTTTAAACCAACAAAGATCAAAAGAGACAAAGAAGGCCATTACATAATGGTAAAGGGATCAATTCAACAAGAAGAGCTAACTATCCTAAATATATATGCACCCAATACAGGAGCACCCAGATTCATAAAGCAAGTCCTTAGAGACCTACAAAGAGAATTAGACTCCCACACAATAATAATGGGAGATTTTAACACCCCACTGTCAACATTAGACAGATCAACAAGACAGAAAGTTAACAAGGATATCCAGGAATTGAACTCAGCTCCGGACCAAGCGAACCTAATAGACATCTACAGAACTCTCCACCCCAATTCAACAGAATATACATTCTTTTCAGCACCACACCACACCTATTCCAAAATTGACCACATAGTTGGAAGTAAAGCTCTCCTCAGCAAATGTAAAAGAACAGAAATTATAACAAACTGTCTGTCAGACCACAGTGCAATCAAACTAGAACTCAGGATTAAGAAACTCACTCAAAACCACTCAACTACATGGAAACTGAACAACCTGCTCCTGAATGACTACTGGGTACATAACGAAATTAAGGCAGAAATAAAGATGTTCTTTGAAACCAATGAGAACAAAGACACAACATACCAGAATCTCTGGGATGCATTCAAAGCAGTGTGTAGAGGGAAATTTATAGCACTAAATGCCCACAAGAGAAAGCAGGAAAGATCTAAACTTGACACCCTAACATCACAATTAAAAGAACTAGAGAAGCAAGAGCAAACACATTCAAAACTAGCAGAAGGCGAGAAATAACTAAGATCAGAGCAGAACTGAAGGAAATAGAGACACAAAAAACCCTTCAAAAATCAATGAATCCAGAAGCTGGTTTTTTTTAAAAGATCAACAAAATTGATAGACTGCTAGCAAGATTAATAAAGAAAAGAGAGAAGAATCAAATAGATGCAATAAAAAATGATAAAGGGGATATCACCACCAATCCCACAGAAATACAAACTACCATCAGAGAATACTGTAAACACCTCTATGCAAATAAACTAGAAAATCTAGAAGAAATGGATAAATTCCTCGACACATACACCCTCCCAAGACTAAACCAGGAATAAGTTGAATCTCTGAATAGACCAATAACAGGCTCTGAAATTGAGGCAATAATTAATAGCTTACCAATCAAAAAAAGTCCAGGACCAGACGGATTCACAGCCGAATTCTACCAGAGGTACAAGGAGGAGCTGGTACCATTCCTTTTGAAAGTATTCTAATCAATAGAAAAAGAGGGAATCCTCCCTAACTCATTTTATGAGGCCACCATCATCCTGATACCAAAGCCTGGCAGAGACACAACAAAAAAAGAGAATTTCAGACCAATATCCCTGATGAACATCAATGCAAAAATCCTCAATAAAATACTGGCAAACCAAATCCAGCAGCACATCAAAAAGCTTATCCACCATGATCAAGTGGGTTTCATCCCTGGAATGCAAGGCTGGTTCATCATACGCAAATCAATAAATGTAATCCAGCATATAAACAGAACCAACGACAAAAACCACATGATTATCTCAATAGATGCAGAAAAGGTCTTTGACAAAATTCAACAATGCTTCATGCTAAAAAGTCAATAAATTAGATCTTGATGGGATGTATCTCAAAATAATAAGAGCTATCTATGACAAACCCATAGCCAATATCATACTGAATGGGCAAAAACTGGAAGCATTCCCTTTGAAAACTGGCACAAGACAGGGATGTCCTCTCTCACCACTCCTATTCAACATAGTGTTGGAAGTTCTGGCCAGGGCAATCAGGCAAGAGAAGGAAATAAAGGGTATTCAATTAGGAAAAGAGGAAGTCAAATTGTCCCTGTTTGCAGATGACATGATTGTATATCTAGAAAGCCCCATCGTCTCAGCCCAAAATCTCCTTAAGCTGATAGGCAACTTCAGCAAAGTCTCAGGATACAAAATCAATGTGCAAAAATCACAAGCATTCTTATACACCAGTAACAGACAAACAGAGAGCCAAATCATGAGTGAACTCCCATTCACAATTGCTTCAAAGAGAATAAAATACCTAGAAATCCAACTTACAAGGGAAGTGAAGGACCTCTTCAAGGAGAATTACAAACCACTGCTCAATGAAATAAAAGAGGATACAAACAAATGGAAGAATATTCCATGCTCATGAGTAGGAAGAATCAATATCATGAAAATGGCCATACTGCCCAAAGTAATTTATAGATTCAATGCCATCCCCATCAAGCTACCAATGACTTTCTTCACAGAATCGGAAAAAACTACTTAAGTTCATATGGAACCACAAAAGAGCCCGCATTGCCAAGTCAATACTAAGCCAAAAGAACAAAGCTGGAGGCATCATTCTACCTGACTTCAAACTACACTACAAGGCTACAGTAACCAAAACAGCATGGTACTGGTCCCAAAACAGAGATATAGACCAATGGAACAGAATAGAGACCTCAGAAATAATGCCACATATCTACAACTATCTGATCTTTGACAAACCTGACAAAAACAAGAAATGGGAAAAGGATTCCCTATTTAATAAATGGTGCTGGGAAAACTGGCTAGCCATATGTAGAAAGCTGAAACTGGATCCCTTCCTTACACCTTATACAAAAATTAATTCAAGATGGATTAAAGACTTAAATGTTAGACCTAAAACCATAAAAATCCTAGAAGAAAACCTAGGCGATACTATTCAGGACATAGGCATGGGCAAGGACTTCATGTCTAAAACACCAAAAGCAATGGCAACAAAAGCCAAAATTGACAAATGGGATCTAATTAAACTAAAGAGCTTCTGCACAGCAAAAGAAACTACCATCAGAATGAACAGGCAACCATTCTGTAGAATAGGAGAAAATTTTTGCAATCTACTCATCTGACAAAGGGCTAATATCCAGAATCTACAATTAACTCAAACAAATTTACAAGAAAAAAACAAACAACCCCATCAAAAAGTGGGCAAAGGATATGAACAGAGGCTTCTCAAAAGAAGACATTTATGCAGCCAAAAGACACATGAAAAAATGCTCATCATCACTGGCCATCAGAGAAATGCAAATCAAAACCACAATGAGATATCATCTCACACCAGTTAGAATGGCGATCATTAAAAAGTCAGGAAACAACAGGTGCTGGAGAGGATGTGGAGAAATAGGAACACTTTTACACTGTTGGTGGGACTGTAAACTAGTTCAACCATTGTGGAAGTCAGTATGGCAATTCCTCAGGAATCTAGAACCAGAAATACCATTTTACCCAGCCATCCCATTACTGGGTATATACCCAAAGGATTATAAAACATGCTGCTATAAAGACACATGCACACGTATGTTTATTGTGGCACTATTCACAATAGCAAAGACTTGGAACCAACCCAAATGTCCAACAATGATAGACTGGATTAAGAAAATGTGGCACATATACACCATGGAATACTATGCAGCCATAAAGAATGATGAGTTCATGTCCTTTGTAGGGACATGGATGAAGCTGGAAACCATCATTCTCAGCAAAGTATCGCAAGGACAAAAAACCAAACACCGCATGTTCTCACTCATAGGTGGGAATTGAACAATGAGAACACATGGACACAGGAAGGGGAACATCACACACCAGGGCCTGCTGTGGGGTGGGGGGAGGGGGGAGGGATAGGATTAGGAGATATATCTAATGTTAAATGACGAGTTAATGGGTGCAGCACACCAACATGGCACATGTATACATATGTAACTAACCTGCACGTTTTGCACATGTACCCTAAAACTTAAAGTATAAAAAAAAAAAAAACCTTTGACAGTATTCAAGAATTTTGACAAAGTTATTCCTGGCCATTCTGCTTGTTTTTCCATGTTTCTCTGCAAGGAGAGGTGTTTGGAGAAGCTCATTCTGCCATTATACTCACCTCACTCTTCCTGGACTCTGTTGTCTTTCATTGATATAAAGGACTTTTCTTGTGCCATTAGTATACAATCTAGATTACTGTTGCTTTGAGGCAAGTTTTAAAACTGAAGTGTGAGTCTTCCTTTTTTGGTCTTTTTCAAGAGCATTGTGGTATTCTGAGGCCTTTTTGTTCCCATATGAGTTTTAGCATTGACTTTTTAAATTCTGCAAGGTACTTAACTGACAGGAATTGTATGAAATCTGTGGATTGTTTTGGGTAGTGTTGCCTTCTTAATATTAAGCCTACTTATCTATGCTCTTGAGATCTAACATTTAAATCTTCAATGCCTTTCAACAAGGTTTGTGGGTTTCAGACTATAAGTTTTGTACTTTTGTTAAATTTATTATACCTCTTCCTCTTGGTTGCTGCCAAGTTTTGAAAAGTATGAATAATGTTGCTGTACACATCCCTGTACAGGTTTTTGTGTGGGTCTACATTTTCATTTAGGTAAACTCACCTTTTGGTATTGGCTTATCATCCAGGAGACACCTCTCTGCCACGTGGCATGCAGTTGAGAACATTATGAAAATCAAGTGGCTATGGACCTATGATGAGGTTTGTTAAAATCTGTGTGTGTGTGTGTGTGTGTGTGTGCAAGCGCACGCATGCACGTGTGTGTGTCTATGTTTCAGCCCAAGTGATTCACCAAGTATTAATCTCCTCCTGTGTAACAGACCTTCTAGTAGGGGCTACCGTGAATAAAACAGAACAAATAACCCTGTCCACTTGAAGGTGACATTGTAGGAAACAGGGAACAAGAGATGCAAGTAAAACACACAGTGGACAGATGGTGGTTGTTGCTAAGGAAGGTAAGAAGGGCAGTAGTGACCGTGGCAGCCTGGGCTGTGTGTTTCTGAACATCTGTTGGTGTCTTTGTGCCATCTCTGAGGATTACTGAGCTCATGTGTCTGTCTGGGTGTACCCACCTGTATGTGCACATCCCCTGTTCATGGGTTGGAAGAGTTAATACTGTTAAGATGTTAATATTACCCCAAATGATATACAAATTCAATACAATTCCTACCAAAATCCCAAAGACTTAAAAAAAAAAGAAAGTACCATTCTAAAATTCATATGGAATAACAAGAAACTCTGATTAGCCAAAACCATTGAAAAAGCAGAACAAAGCTGGAAGTCTCACTGTGCTTGATTTCAAAACTTACTGAAAGTTTCAGTAATCAAAACAGTGTGATATTGGCACAAAGACAGACACACACACCAATGTGTAGAATAGAAAGCCAAGATGGATGCCCTCACATATATGATAAAATGATTTTCAAGATGGTGCCAGGATCACTCAGTGGAAAAGGAAGTATCTGAAAAAAAAATAGGGCTGTAGAAGTATGAAGTTAGACAGTTTCCTTACACCACATACAAAAATGAAATCAAAATGGATCAAAGACCTGAAAGAAAGTGCTAAAACTAAACAACCCTTAGAAGAACATATAGGGCAGAAGTTTCATAACTTTGGATTTTGCAATGATTTCTTGCATATGACACCACAAACCCAGTCAACACCAACCAAAAAAGGACAAATTTGATCTCATAAAAATTTAAAACTTTTGTCCCTCAGGGGCACCTTTAATAGAGTAAAAATGCTACTCACACACTTGTAGAAAATACTTGGAAATAATATGTCTGGTAAGGTATTAATATCCAGAACATATTTTTGTTTTGTTTTGTTTTGTTTTGAGACAGCGTCTCACTCTGTTACCCAGGCTGGAGTGCAGCAGTGTAATCACAGCTTACTGTGATCATCCCACCTCAGCTTTTCGAGTAGTGGGGACTGCAGGTGCATGCCACCATGCCCAGCTAATTATTTGTATTTTTTATAGAGACAGGGTTTCACCATGTTGGCCAAGCTGGGCTCAAGAGATCCACTTGCCTCGGCTTCCCAAAGTGCTGGGATTACAGGTGTGAGCCACTGTGCCAGGTCCAGAAAATATTTTTTAAAAAGCATTTGACAAGTTTCAGCACCCCTTCAGGATGAAAACACTCAATAAACTAGGAATGGAAAGGACCTCCCTTGAGATGCTATGAGGCATCTATAAAAACCCCACAACTAACAAAGTACTTGATGCTGAGAGACTGAATGCCTTCCCCCTAATATCAGAAACAAGACAAGGATGTCTGCACTCACCACTTCTATTCAACATGCCCAGGGATGCACTACCACAGAAATTAGACGATACAATGAAATAACAGTATTCCAGATTTTAAAGGACATAACACACATAGCTGTGTGATTTTTTGTCTGTCTGGGGAGCTACACACATAGCTGTGTGATTTTGTGTCTGTCTGGGGAGCTATGTGTGTATGTCCTTTAAAATCTGGAATACTTTCCAGATTTGTGGTGGAAATGGAAGTGTTTTCCTGAGCTGACGTATGCCATTATTTGTAGAAAGCCTTGGTCTCCTTAGGCTATGACTTTTATGGGTTTTCTCAGTCCTCACCCCCATTATTAAGTCAGGCAGTTTAGAGTTAAATACAATTAGGTATTTCCCTTAGGCAACGAGGTTTGGCTCTGGTAAAATCTCAGAAGAGGAGGAGGAGGAGGAGAAAGAGGAGGAGGAAAGAAGGGGAAGGGGAAGGAGGAGGAGGAGGGAAGAAGGGGAAGGGGAAGAAGGAAGAAGAGGAGGAGGAGAAGGAGAAGGAGATAAGGGAAGGAGAATGAGGTGATGACAAAGATAGCCAAGATGAGGATGGCAAAGAAGAATAAAGAAGAGGGAGAGCGTAAAAAGACAACCACAAAGCAGATCATGATAATGAAGAAGAAGCAGAAAAGGAGGAGGAAAAGGAAGGGAAAATGAGAGAGAAAAAGGAGAAATACAAGAATAATGTAAGAAAAATGTGGGAGGAGGAGGGTAGGAGAAGCAGGATGGAGAGTAGCAAGAAGATGAGAATGTGGAGAAGAAGAAAAGGAGAAGGAGGCATTAGAGAAAGAAGGATATCAACTCCTGATATCAACAAAATGAACTTTTGTTCATTTGATTCACTAATGCATTCCAAAGGACCTGAATGCCTGACACAGACTTTTATGAATAAATAATCTGCGTCAAATCTGTGTACAAAATGACCCTACTTCATTTACTTCATTTAATTTAGTTCTTCTTCTTCCCTTGCTGTATCCCATCTCACTTTTTCTTTTTCTTTTATCTTTCTCTTCTGCTGAACCTTCCGTCTCATCCTGAAGGCCCCAGCATCCTTGCGTGCCCCTTCTGAGTCCTGTCTCCTCAAGAGTGGCCAGCCTGTGGCTTTTAGTCTTCATTGCACCCACCTGGTAGTCATTCAACTAACACTATCTCCAGAGTCTAAGACACAAAGGCAATCCTTAAATGTCCATGCTGGAGGGGCTGCTTGGCGGATCTGCTTGTTAGGGGGCTCTTCCAGCTACATTTACAGAGCACTTTACATAATATTGAGAAAAAATACATGGTTTGCATTAAAGAGTGGGAGGCCTTAGGAAAACAGAAGCGGGGTATGCTTGCTGCAAGGTACCACTTGGGCCTGGACTAGACACTGTGTAGACAGAAATTGCAAAGCCTCAGGGAGCAAATTTACCATCCAAGAGTGAGGTGAGACATATCATCCATGACTTGGGTAAATATCGTTTTAAATGCTTAGAGGATCCGGAATCCCTATGCACACAGTCCCAGGGGTTGTGGAAAGTAGAAAGTTTGTGCAGGGAATAGGGAGAAGAAGGAGAGATTAGGAAGAGTGTCATTTGTCCTCCAAGACTGCCCCTATGGGTTTGGTCCCATTTATAGGACAGAGAGAGGGTCTACAGGGAAAACACCAGTTGAGCTGTTTTCAGAGGCGCTTTGAGAAAAGAGGACACAAACTGGCCTGCTCAGGGCCCAGAGAGCAAAGCTGGCTCCCAGGCCCAGAACAGATGGAGGGGGAGGGAAATACAAGAGGACTCCTTCCGACAGAAAATCTCTCTGGCTTCTAGGGGATCTTAGGAGAAACTGGGCTTCTGCACAGCAAAAGCAGCCATCAATGGAGTAAACAGACAACCTGCAGAACAGGAGAAAATATTCACAAACTCAAATACTCATGAAATACTCACAAACTATCAGCAAAGGGCTAAGATCCAGAATCTATAAGGAACTTAAACAATTCAACAAGCTAAAAACAACTCCATTTAAAAATGGGCAAAGGACTTGAACAGACACGTCTCAAAAGAAGACATATATGCAGCCAACAAACGTGAAAAAATGCTCAACATCACTAATCATCAGAAATGCAGATCAAAATCACAATGAGACACTATCTCACACCAGTCAGAATGGCTATTACTAAAAAGTGAAAAAATTAACAGATGTTGGCAAATTTGTACAGAAAAAGGCAACATTTATACACCATGTGGGAGTGTATTAGTTAAGCTACCATGGAAAGCAATTCAGAGGTTTCTGAAAGAACTAAAAGTAGAACTGTCATTTGACCCAGCAATGCCATTATTGGGTACATAACCAAAGGAAAAGAAATCATTCTACCAAAAAGACACATGCACTCATATGTTTATTGCAGCACAATTCACAATAGCAAAGAAATGGAATCAACCTAGGTGCCTGTCATTGGGGGACTGGATACAGAAAATGTGGTACATATACACCATGTGTATATGTACATACAGAAATGTGGTACATATACACAACACAGCCATAAAAAAGTGACATTATGTCCTTTGCAGCAACATGGATGCAGCTGGAGACAATTATCCTAAGTGAATTAATACAGGAACAGAAAACCAAATGCTACATGTTCTCACTTATAAGTGGGAACTAAATGTTGGGCACGCATGGACATAAGGATGAGAACAAGAGACCCTGGGGACTACTGGAGCAGAGAGAAAGGGAGAGGGAGAGGGTTGAAAAACTAACTTATTGGGTACTATGCTCACTACCTGAGTGATAGGATCACTCAGATCCCAAACCTCAGTGGCGTCATGCAATAAATCCATGTAACAAACCTGCACATGTACCCCTGAATTTAAAATAAAAGTTGAGGAAAAGAAGAAAAAGAAAACTGGGAAGAGGGACTGGTGCACTGACATCCATTCCTGCAGAGGGCACCAAAGGCCAGACAATCCCATTTTTAACAAAGTTGAGATTTGGGGGTTTTCTTGTTTTTTAACCATAATCCCATCCACAAGAGGGTGGATATGCAGCTCTTTTTTTTGTTATTTGTTTGTTTTCTCTCTCTCTCCTCTCTCTCACTCTGTTGTTTTTGTTCTTTTTTTCTGCTTTTTCTTTTTTTAATGTTTTTCTTTTTTATCAATTGAGATAAAATTTACATAATATAAAATTGACCATTTTAAAGCATACCATTTGGTGGCATTAAGTACATTCCCAATGTTTTGCAACCACCACCTCTATCTAATTCCAAAATATTTTCATCACCCTAAATAAAACCCCCAAAATATTAAACAGTTATTCCTCATCTCCATTTCCACCTCCCCCATCTCCTCAGCCCCAACAACCACAGTTTTCTTTCTGTCCCTGTATTTACCTGTCTGATCATTTCATATGAATGGAATTGTGCAGTGTGTGACCTCCTGTCTTCTTCTTGCCTTTGAACTTTAAACATTGTACCTGAGGTGGGTTGAGCTGAATGTGTCTGCAGGAGCCCCGACTGCCCACATGAGAGACTCTGGGCCACACATGGGCTCATGCACAGAAGGACCACCGTGTCAGGTGACCTACCCATGGGCTGAAAGCCCACACCGCCAGGACACCTTTCTCTGCCATAGCTTCTCCCAGTGCTTGTGACACTCTTCATCCGACAACAGGCATCACAATCTGCTCTCAACACAGTGTGCTCTGTACATCGTAGCGGCTCACTCTAGATTGTTCAAACCTGAGTCCTTCTTCCCAAGTCATCAGGACAAGTGTGACTGGATGCAGCACAGTGGCTCATGCCAGTAACCACGGTACTTTGATAAGCCGAAGTGGGAGGATTGCTTAAGCCCAGGAGTTCAAGACAAGCCTGGGCAACATAGCACGACTTTATCTCTACAAAAAATACCAAAAATTTAGCCAGGCATGATGGTGCACCTGTGGTCCCAGCTACTTGGGAGGCTGAGATGGGAGGATTGCTTGAGTCTGGGAGATCAAGGATGCAGTGAGCTGAGATCACACCACTGTACTCCAGCCTGGGTGACAGAGTGAGACCCTGTCTTTAACAACATATTAATTAATGTTTTTTTGAGGCAGAGTCTCACTCTGTCACCCAGGCTGGAGTGCAGTAGCACGATCTTGGCTCACTGCAACCTCCACCTCCCTGGTTCAAGCAATTCCCCTGCCTCAGCCTCCCAAGTAGCTGGGATTACAGGCACAGGCCACCATGCTGGGCTAATTTTTTTGTATTTTTAGTACAGATGGGTTTCCACCACGTTGGCCAGACTGGTCTTGAACTCCTGACCTCAGGCAATCTGCCTGCCTCAGCCTACCAAAGTACTGGGATTACAGGTGTGAGCCACCGCGTCTGGTCAATTATTTTTTTAAAAAGGACAAGTGAGTCGAGTTTTAGGTCACGTCATTGTCTGGTAAAAGCAGATCACAGGACGACATAATTCTTACGTGTTGACATATAAAAGGGGGAACAACCGGTTGACCAAAGAGACGCTCCCCCAAGGAGGGACATAGGAGGGACCTGGCACTTGGATTTCCTCACCGCCCGCAGGCACAGGGAGTGCTCAGCCCGTCTGCAGAGTTTGGATAAAGCTCCTCCCTCTAGGAAAGCAAGGACTCCTTTCTCACAAAAACCACCCAGGAAAAGGCCCAGACTTTTGAATCATCAAACAAGAAGGTGAGGAGGGAATAGGCCTTGCGGCTGGGTGCGAGAAATCAGCATGAAGGTTCTAAGCTGGGCCAGGGATGCTACCAGTGAGAACAGACACCCATGACCCCACAGCCACGGAGGGCAGCGAAGGGCTGGGGAAGAGGAGCCCTGAACGTCCCTCTGGGACAATACAGGAATTAGGACATTGCGACATGATCATAAACACCTTTCCTGAAGGACCTGGGCCAGCTAGGCTGGGCCTGCACGCTGCCAGATAACCACAGGCTTTATCTGCATTTGCAGCTCCTTCAGCTGGCCTGGGTCCCACCCTGAGACCCGTCTCCTCCCGGCGGGCTCTATCTCCTGCTCCCCAGCCCTGGGGTGTTCCACACTGGGGATCACACTCTTCAGGAAGCCTTTTTTTTTTTTTCTGCTGCAACTGCCAGAAAGGTACAGTTACATATTTTTGCAAAAAACAAAAGGAAGAATCTCTGGAAACTGGGGGACTTGGCGGCTTTTGCCAGATGTCTAGGTTGCCTTTCACATCACTGCTTGGAGACAGCGTGGTTGGTCTGGGTCACACCCTACCTGGAGTTGGCAGGAAACTAAATTCATTCCCCCAAAGTTGCCAGGACTTCCCAGGGAAGCTGCAGCAGCTCTCGGTGCCAGGTGAGCATTGTCTATGGTCAGGATGTGGTTTGCTCTTCAGTGTCTCTGCTTCCTCCACCCTCTCCCCATCCCCAAGGGCAGAAGGACCACAGGGCCTTCCTGCAATGCAAGAACCAAACAGGACAAGAGCCTGTGCCCACACAACTCCCTAATCACACACGTAAATGCCCAACCTGGATGGCTGTGCTGGGTAGAACCGCCCAAGGTCACAGAACTTTTTACCAACACCTGCTCTCTAAACCAAGGTTACAAGAAATGCTCACAAGAGACTCATGAGGGTCTTGGCCTGCCCATCCCAGCTGAAGAGCTCTGAGGATTGGGCCCAGCCCCCAGCCCCTGACTGTAGAAGTCCCCATGGGGACAGCAGGAAAGCAAGGGACATTAAGGGAATCCCTTGATGTCGTTCTGACCTCGAATTTGCTTAATCCGAGTCTGGGTTTTCTCCCCCAGCATTCTGGAGTTTCATGACAGTCACCAGCTAGAGACTGGGCTACAGCTCTTTATGAGCAATTAGAAAATCAAACCCCTTCCCTCCTGGATGTCCTCGTGGAATTCCGCAGACAGACTAGGGTGAGAGGTGTGTTACCCGCAAGGAGATGGGTACAGGAGCACATGAGGCTTGCTGTGTCTCCATTTATAGCATTAATAACTTGTTTGAGAGTGAGAGTAAATGACCTTTTTCTTCTTTTTCTTCCATGGCACTTTTCCTCTGCACCTGTTAGCTTCCTGGCGGTGGCTCCTCTCCCAGTGACAGTGCGTGGCTCCGGCCTGGCAGGAATGGCAGTGACATGCGATCCAGAGGCCTTCCTGTCCATCTGCTTTGTCACCTTGGTCTTCCTGCAGCTCCCACTGGCCAGCATCTGTCAAAACTGAGGGACAGACTCCTGTGCAAGTCGAGGCAGGTGCCCTGGCATAGGTGGGGGTGTGTCCAGCATGGCGGGAAGCTGAAGCATCTCCCAGCAGCTCAGGGCTCAATAGGTCCCCAAAGCTTCCAAGAAGAGGGAGGGGCAGGGGGGAAGTGCCCTGGCCTCCCAACACATGGCCTAACCCAGCCCTTTCTGATCTGCCTCCCCCAGGGAAAGCTGACTTTGATGTCACTGGGCCTCATGCCCCTATTCTGGCTATGGCTGGGGGACACGTGGAGTTACAGTGCCAGCTGTTCCCCAATATCAGTGCCGAGGACATGGAGCTGAGGTGGTACAGGTGCCAGCCCTCCCTAGCTGTGCACATGCATGAGAGAGGGATGGACATGGATGGAGAGCAAAAGTGGCAGTACAGAGGAAGGACCACCTTCATGAGTGACCACGTGGCCAGGGGCAAGGCCATGGTGAGGAGTCACAGGGTCACCACCTTTGACAACAGGACATACTGCTGCCGCTTCAAGGATGGTGTAAAGTTCGGCGAGGCCACTGTGCAGGTGCAGGTGGCAGGTAAGGCTGGTGGCTAGCTGGCTGTCAGTCTACTTCCAGGCATGGCCTTGGGGCCCAGCGTGTTCAGGTGGAGGGCTTTTCAGTAGGGTGAGAGTGCACTCTCCCAGCTGCCGTGCTGGCCTGCACTGCTCCCGGGAAGCACAGCGGTGAAGGCAGAGCCACCTTCCTCATCTTCCTTTCCCTCCTTACACCAGTGGACTGGAAAGTGAAGGGAAGGGAAAGAGAGAGATGGGGGGAATGAGAGAGACACAGAGAAGAAGAGATAGAATGAGAAAGAAGCAGGGAGAGACAGACAGAGGTGGAAAGAGAGATGGAGAGAAAGACAGAGAGATGAGAGAAAGACAGAGAGAGATGAAGAAAGAATGACAGAATTATAGAGATGGGGAAAGAGAGAGATGGAGAGGGAGGGACAGGCAGAGACAGAGAATGAAAGACAGGAGAGACAGAGATGGAGAGAGACAGAGAGAATGAGAAACTGAGAGAAACACAGAGAGAATGAAAGAGACAAAGAGACAGAGTCAGTGACAGAGAGAGGGAGATAGAGACAGAGACAGAGAGACAGTAAAAGAAAATGAGAAAGACAGTAAGCAACAGAGAGTGGGAGGAAGAGAGAGACAGAGAAATAATGACAGGAGACAGAAAGGCCAAGAGAGAGAAGAGAGTCTTCAGATACGGGAGGTTTCCCGAGTGACTCAGAACTTGTGCTTCGAAACAGACAAGCCTGGGTCCCATCTTGTGCCATGAATTCTACTTCTGCAACACAGGATGCCTATTCAATCTTCCTGGACCTTTTCCACTTTGCTTCCCTTCTTTTGTCTGGGAAATGGGGAACTCTGTTAGGGATGGTGTGTAACACAGGGTAGGCAGTTTGTGAAATTGCCAAAATACATTGGAAATCCTCAAGATTTTGTTTTTCCTTTAAATAGAAGCAGCCATGGCTGCAAAGATTCAAGCTGCTGTCTCTTCCTTCAGGGCTGGGCAGAGAGCCCAGAATCCAGGTGACAGACCAGCAGGATGGAGTCAGGGCGGAGTGCACATCAGCAGGCTGTTTCCCCAAGTCCTGGGTGGAACGGAGAGACTTCAGGGGCCAGGCTAGGCCTGCTGTGACCAATCTATCAGCCTCAGCCACCACCAGGCTCTGGGCTGTGGCATCCAGCTTGACGCTCTGGGACAGGGCTGTGGAGGGTCTCTCCTGCTCCATCTCCAGCCCCCTCCTCCCTGAAAGGAGGAAGGTGGCTGAGAGCCACCTGCCCGGTGAGTCCTCTATTCAGTTCTGTCCTCACAATCACTGAGCACAGGATTCCGTGGCCCTGGACACTGGGGACATTAAGAGACAGCTGTGGGGTTTGTGGCAAGCAGGGATGGGTGGCAGGTCCCTGTCCTCACATGGCTGGGGCATCCCAGGAGGTGCACTGTTTGGGTGCTGATTACTGAAGAGGAACAGAGATAAGGGTGCAGGGACCCTGGGGAGAGCCTTGCCTTTGGGGGAACAAGAAATGTACATCCTAATATCAACAGTTTTTAGGGTTTTTTAAAATAGGCTTTATTTTTTAAAGCAGTTTTAGGGTCACAACAAATTTTAGTAGAAAGTCCAGAGAGTTCCCATCTTCCCCTAACCCCCTCACACACCTTCCCCCAGCATAAAAACCCTACACCAGAAGGAACGTCCACCATGTTTGATGAACTTCCGTTGACAATGCCGTCAGCACCCAGAGTGCAGTTTTCATGAGGGCTCACTCTTGGCATGGTGTCCCATGGTTCTAGATAAATATATAATGCCACATATCTGTCATAGTATCATACAAAATAATGTCACTGCCCTTAATCCTCCGTGCTCCGCTCATTCATTCATCTCCCCTAACTCCTGGCCACCACTGATGTTTTCACTGTCTCCATAGTTTCCAGGTGTTCTGGAATGTCCTGTAGTTGGGACGGTGCCTCTGTAGCCCCTTCACTTTGACTTCCCTCACTTTGTGGTACGCATTTAGGTTTCCTCCATGTCTTTTCCTGCCTTGATAACTTGTTTCTTTTGTGAAATGAATAACGTTCCAGGATCTGGATGGACCACTGTTTATTGATCCATTCACCTACTAAAAAATATCTTGGTTGTTTCCAAATTTAGCTTTTCACAAAAACTTTCACTTTTACTTTTCTAAATGATGTCAAACTTACAGAAACTTTGCAAGATTAATAGAAAAGTTGTCTGTGCACCCTTTACTCAGATTCACCATATTTTTACCTTATTGCGATATTTCTTTTTATCACTTCTCCCTTTGTCTATCTACAAATAGATATCTAATATCTACTTCCTATGCATATGTCTAAACCCAACTGTCTTACTCCATTTGTGTGCCTATAACAAAATACCACAGACCAGGTGGCTTAGAAACAAGAGATAGCTATTGCCCACAGTTTTGTAAGCTGGGAAGTCCAAGATCAAGGCGTGGCAGATTTGGTGTCTGGCAAGGGCACTTCCTGGTTCATAGACAGCGCCTTCTCACTGTGTCCTCACATGGTGGAAGGGGTGAGGGAGCTCTCTGGGCTCTCCCCTTTATAAGGGCACCATTCCCATCATATCCGTTACAGGGGCTCCACCCTCATGACCTCATCACTTCCCAAAGGCCTCACCTCCTAACATCATCACCGTAGGGGTTGGGATTTCAACCCCTTTGGGGGACACAGACATTCGGTCCATAGACCAGCTGTGCAAATACATACTATTTTGGAAACTATTTCACAGTAATTTGCAAATATTATGTCCCTGGACTACTGAACTCTTTAGCAAGTTTGACCTCAGAACACAGAAACTCTCTTACCCCAATATTCCTGGCTTCTGGGAATCTTCTCCAGCTACCTTCTCCAGAAGCTCCCAGTTCACGGCATGGAAAGCAGCTCTGCCTCTGATCCTTGTTGCCATGGGACTCGTAATAGCTGGAGGCATCTGCATCTTCTGGAAACGTCAAAGGGAAAAGAACAAAGCATCACTGGAAGAAGAGAGGGAGTGAAGAGAAAAGGAGCAGAGGCGGCCCACCAGCAGCGACAAGGCTGAGCCATGGCGTGGTGAGCAGGGAGCCCCGACAAGGCACATCCTGCCCCCCCACCCCAAATCCAGGACCCTAACACGAAGCCCTGAGCTGAGGCTTCGTCCATGTGTCCTCAGACACAGTAGGAATGGGGTGGCCAGTGGGGATCCTCCCTCTGGCATTGCCTGATTATGATCTACCCAGTGAGACCATCTGTCTCCTAGCAATCCCTCAATTAAGTCTTCACTGGCTGATTTCAGGCAGGCTGGTTGGGCTCTGTCTTGAAAACAGACAGATCTGAGTTTGAACCCCAAGTCTGATGGGTGTGGGCTGAGGGACCTGGTGTGAGCCCTGAGCCACTCTGTCTGCTGGGAGTGCTGATACCATCCTGAAAGACCAACAGAGTAGCATTCAGAGCAAGGCCGCGTCAGGGAGGGTTTACAGTTGCAATCACTGTGATTATTCTCAATATTGACTGTGTCCTTCATTCATTCACTTCACTCACTTCCTCCTCTGTCATTTCAGGAGCTGAGGACTTGTTCCTAGACTTCAGAGCCCTATTTTGAGAGTAGAGATTGTGCTCAGCTGGTTATAAAGACTGCATTATGACAGAGTTGCTTGTGGTGGCTTGCAGCTGTCATCCAGCATTTTGGGAGGCTGAGGCGGGAAAATTGCTTGAGGCCAGGAGTTTGAGGACACCCTGGGCAATATAGCAAGACCCCATCTCTACAAAAAAATAAAAATAAAGAAATTAGCCAGGCATGGTGGTGTGTGCCTGTTGTCCCAGCTACTCAGGAGGCTGAGGTGGGAAAATCACTCGAGCCCAGGAGTTTAAGGCTACAGTGAGCCATGATTGTGCTACTGCACTCCAGCCTGGGTGACAGAGCCAGATCCTGTCAGACAGATGAAAGAAGAAAGAAGGAAAGAAAGAAAGAAGAAAGAAAGAAAGAAAGAAAGAAAGAAAGAAAGAAAGAAAGAAAGAAAGAAAGACGAAATCTCTCAGCATTTGCTTGTCTGTAAAGGATTTTATTTCTCCTTCACTTATGAAGCTTAGTTTGGCTGGATATGAAATTCTGGGTGGAAAATTCTTTTCTTTAAGAATGTTGAATAGTGGCCCCCACTCTCTTCTGGCTTGTAGAGTTTCTGCCGAGAGATCAGCTGTTAGTCTGATGGGCTTCCCTTTGTGGGTAACCCGACTTTTCTCTCTGGCTGCCCTTAACATTTTTTCCTTCATTTCAACTTTGGTGAATCTGACAATTATGTGTCTTGGAGTTGCTGTTCTCGAGGAGTATCTTTGTGGCGTTCTCTGTATTTCCTGAATCTGAATGTTGGCCTGCCTTGCTAGGTTGGGGAAGTTCTCCTGGATAATATCCTGTAGAGTGTTTTCCAACTTGGTTCCATTCTCCCCATCACTTTCAGGTACACCAATCAGACGTAGATTTGGTCTTTTCACATAGTCCCATATTTCTTGGAGGCTTTGTTCGTTTCTTTTTATTCTTTTTTCTCTAAACTTCCCTTCTTGCTTCATTTCATTCATTTCATCTTCCATCACTGATACCCTTTCTTCCAGTTGATGGCATCGGCTCCTGAGGCTTCTGCATTCTTCACTTAGTTCTCGAGCCTTGGCTTTCAGCTCCATCAGCTCTTTTAAGGACTTCCCTGCATTGGTTATTCTAGTTATACATTCATCTAATTTTTTTTCACAGTTTTTAACTTCTTTGCCATTGTTTTGAATTTCCTCCTGTAGCTCAGAGTAGTTTGATCGTCTGGAGACTTCTTCTCTCACCTCGTCAAAGTCATTCTCTGTCCAGCTTTGTTCCGTTGCTGGTGAGAAGCTGCGTTCCTTTGGAGGAGGAGAGGCACTCTGCTTTTTGGAGTTTCCAGTTTTTCTGCTCTGTTTTTCCTCCATCTTTGTGGTATTATCTACTTTTGGTCTTTGATGGTGGTGATGTACAGATGGGTTTTTGGTGTGGATGTCCTTTCTGTTTGTTAGTTTTCCTTCCAACAGACAGGACCCTCAGCTGCAGGTCTGTTGGAGTTTGCTAGAGGTCCACTCCAGACCCTGTTTGCTTGGGTGTCAGCAGAGGTGGCTGCAGAACAGTGGTGGCTGTAGAACAGCGGATATTGGTGAACAGCAAGTGTTGCTGCCTGATGGTTCCTCTGGATGTTTTGTCCCAGAGGAGTACCCAGCCGTGTGAGGTGTCAGTCTGCCCCTACTGGGGGGTGCCTCCCAGTTAGGCTACTTGGGGGTCAGGGACCCACTTGAGGAGGCAGTCTGCCCGTTCTCAGATCTCCAGCTGCGTGCTGGGAGAACCACTACTCTCTTCAAAGCTGTCAGACAGGGACACTTAAGTCTGCAGAGGTTACTGCTGTCTTTTTGTTTGTCTGTGCCCTGCCCCGAGAGGTGGAGCCTACAGAGGCAGGCAGGCCTCCTTGAGCTGTGGTGGGCTCCACCCAGTTCGAGCTTCCAGGCTGCTTTGTTTACCTAATCAAGCCTGGGCAATGGCAGGTGCCCCTCCCCCAGCCTCGCTGCTGCCTTGCAGTTTGATCTCAGACTGCTGTGCTAGCAATCAGCGAGACTCCGTGGGCATAGGACCCTCTGAGCCAGGTGCGGGATATAATCTCCTCGTGTGCCGTTTGTTAAGCCTGTTGGAAAAGCGCAGTATTAGGGTGGGAGTGACCCGATTTTCCAGGTGCCGTCTGTCACCCCTTTCTTTGACTAGGAAAGGGAACTCCCTGACCGCTTGTGCTTCCTGAGTGAGGCAATCCCTCGCCCTGCTTTGGCTCGCGCACGGTGTGCTGCACCCACTGTCCTGCACCCACTGTCTGGCACTCCCTAGTGAGATGAACCCAGTACCTCAGATGGAAATGCAGAAATCACCCGTCTTCTGCGTCGCTCACGCTGGGAGCTGTAGACCGGAGCTGTTCCTATTTGGCCATCTTGGCTCCACCTCCCACCCCAGACTGCCCAGGATGCATAGTGAACTCACTGCCTCAGGATGCATAGTGAGTGACCAACCCCAAATCCAGCCTGGATCTCACCCCGTAAGGATGAAATTACAACTGCAGTAATGACCTCTGGAGGGCACATGCAAAGGCCACTGCTCCTTCATTCTAACCTCACAGAAAGCTTGCAGAAGAGCAATAGGGTCCCCTGCACAGATGGAGGGCCTAAGAAGCATTAGACTAGCTCGGGGCCCAACTCTGGGACCCCCAAATCCACCAGTTTCCCCTGCAGTTCCATCTGCAGCCAGCCATTCTGCTAGGTGTAATTCCATGGCTGACACATCTCCATCCTATAACAGTTTCCCATTCTCTGTGCTCTGGTTGGGATTCTTTTAAGCAGCACTTTCCTTGTGAACTGTATAATGAAATGTTCTATGTCTCAATGGACATCTGTGTGTGCATGTGCATATGTGTACATATGCATACAAAAAAAGTGGAGAGCAATTCTTGTTCTATTTTATGCATTCTCATTGGGAATGACATGCCTCCCCAGGGGGTGAGAATTCGTTCTCAGGGGCTAAAGGCATCACAGTGGCTGGCAGCCTCTGAAGAACCTGGCACATAAACAGATACACAGTACCTGTGCTGTGGAAGCTGCAGGGTCGTGGTGACAATGAGGAAAAAAAAGTCTTAAAAGGCTCCTTCTGGGGGGCATAGTGAAATGAAGTTTGAGAAACTCTCTTCTCTCCTCACTTCTTTGCTGTTGTGAGACTAAACTGGAATTAGTGTTTCTCAGTGTGGATTCTAAGAACCTTAGAGCAGGGTCCTGTCCTGCAGATTTCTGGGCCCCAGTGCAGACTTAGGAAGTCAGTTCCATGGAGTGGCAGGAATGTGCATTTTTAATCAGCTCTTCTATCCATTTCCTAGAGCTGCCTAACACAGCACTGCACACTGAGTGGCTCAGACAACAGGCATTTATTTCTTTCCTTGATCTGGAAGTCCAAGATCAAGGTGTAGACAGCATTGGTTCACCCTCAGGCCTCGCTCCATGGCTACCAGATAGTCCTCTCCTCCCAGTGTCCTCACATGGTCCTCCCTCTGGGTGTCTCTGCATCCTAATCTCCTCTTGTTATAAGGATACCAGTCCTACTGGATCAGGGCCCACCCCAATAAACTTACTTAACCTTAATTACTTCTCAAAAGACCCTATCTCCAAATATCATAGTCCTCCTCACCCACAGTTTCAGTTACCCATGGTCCACTGTAGTTATTTTTGTTAAGATATTTTGCAGGACAGAAAGACCATATTCACATAACTTTTATTACAGTATATTATCATAATCATTCTAGTTTATTTACCTTTTTCAAATTTTTATATATTTTTTACACACAACATCTCACTTTGTTGCCCAGGCTGGTCTCTACCTCCTTGGCTCAAGTGATCCTCCTGCCTCAACCTCCCAAGTAGATGAAACTACAGGCAGGCACCACCACACCCCACTAATTTTATTATTAGTTATTGTTATTAATCTCTTACTGTGCCAAATGTATAAACTTTACCATAGCTATGTATGTATGGGAAAAAGCACAGGCTGTGTAGGATTGGGTACTATCCTCAGTTTCAGGCATCCACTGGGGGTCATGGAATGTATCCCCCAAGGACAAGGGGGGCTTATTAGAGTCACACTCTGAGGTCCTGGGGTTAGAACTTCAACAGATGACTGGGGGGCAGGGGATACAAAATGGAACCCATAACAATTCTCAAAATGCTTTTTCCTCAAACCTGAAAGTGTAAAACCTGCTCTGAGGGGTGGGGAGAAAGACCCCATCACCTGCTAGGATGAGCAGAGCGTGGGGCGATGCAGTCATTCCCTCACTGAAGACATTTATGGGGCACCTCCCTATGCACCAGACAGGAAGGAAGGAATTACAGAAACAAAACCTCACAAATATATACAATTATTACGTGTTAATTAAAAATATATGTAAAGCAAAAATAAAATCCAGAGAAAAGGAAGGGGGAGCGTTTGGTGGTGTTGGGGCCAGGAACCTCCCCAGGTAGCCTATGGCATCACACAGTAAAGGGCAACCCCAGTGGCACATGGCCCACCCCGGGAGCCAGGGCTGCAGGTTCCCTCATCCCAAAAGTGCTCGCAGGGAGCCAGCTGCCTCTGTAGCTCCATTCACCTCTACTGCGCTATCTACTGCAGTTAATCCACTTCCTCGGTCCAGCCGCCACCCCCACATCTCTCTTAAGGGCACAGGGGTCCTCCAGTGGGCTTCAGTCCTGACTTTGCAGCCTCTAGCTGTGGGATGCGGGGCTGCTTAATGTCCCTGAGCCTCCATCTCCTCACCTATAACATGGATATATGACGCACATACACACTTCTCAACAGATGGCCTCCAAGAGGATTGAAGTTAAGACACCCCGCAGAGAGGACTAAATGGTAACCCTCCAAAATGACACTTCTGTGAATTTACAAAAGTGATCCAATTTGAAAAACAGGACTTCCTGTTTGCAGACTTGATTAGGAATCTTGGATTGAGATAATCCTGGATTTCAGGTGGGCCCTAAATCCAGTCACTGGGGTTACAATCTGAATGTTTGTGTCCCACTCTCCAAATTTATATATTGAAATCTTTACCCCCAAGGTGATGGTATTAGGAGGTGGGGCCTTTGGGAGGTGACTGGGTCATGAAAGTGGAGCCTCACAAATGGGATTAGTTTCCTTATGAGAGGGACCTGTCAATAGGGGAAAATGACGAGACAAGTCTCAATCACCTTAGAAAATGTATTTGCCAAAGTTAAGGATGAGCCTAGGAGACAGGTCTATGCCTTTCTCTAAAGATGATTTTGAGGGCTCAAAATTTACAGGGGAAAGGGCGGGATATAGATTAGACAAACCGCACTCTGGCACAGCCAATGAGGCTCCTGAGCTGCAAAGTCCTTCAGCCCATTGGTGGGTGCAGTATCCACAGCCCTGTGCTTGCCAGACAGCCTCTGCAGCTGTAGATAGCTCTGTGTTCAGTGACCCCACTCTCCTGCAGCAGAACGAGACTTGGGGACATCCTACCACCAACAGCAATTGGATGGGCAGTCTATCCACAGGTTTCCAAAAAGGTAAGCCCGGTTCTCAGGAATGGCAATAGCCTGTTGCCCTGCCCCCACTCTTCTGCACGTTGCATCTTGGAAGAAGTTGCATTTGCATTTAGGAATCAATCGTCAGCAAAATGGGCTCTTCCTGGAGTTCTCTGATCCATGCACACATACACACAACCTAGGGCACCACCATGTGCAAATCCCATGTGCACATCTCTTGTCAAGGGCACCCCATGTGCAGGCCCTTGTAGCAGAACAATTTTTACTCAGTTCAGTTACCACTGAGGCCTCCACCATATTCACCTTTCCACATCCTCAGCAGTGAGGACCTGTCACCACAGCAACCAATGGCTCTGTAACCATCCCATGCCTGTGCCCTCATGGAACCCTGTGGGCATCTCTTTGGCATAACAGCCCAGGGGTGGAACTGATGCAATACATAGTATCCCAGTCCATGTGGACAGCCTGGGCAGCTTAGAAACCACCAAAGTGTGCTGCTCACAGCTCTGGAGGCCGGAAGTCCAAGATCAAGCCACCAGCATATCCAGTGGCTGGTGAGGTCAATTCCTTGTTCATAGACAGCACCTTCTCACTGAGTCCTCACATGGTGTAAGAGATGAGGGAGTTCTCTGGGGTCCCTTTTATAAGGGCAGTAATCCCATTCATGAACTCATCACCTCCAAATGCTCCATGTCATAACACCATCATCTTGAAGGTGAGGATTTCAACGTACTAATGTGGAGGGTGGGACACCTTCAGACCACAGTGTGGGCATGCAAACTGCATAGTCCACAACTGAGCTGTTCCCAAGAACACCCCCCTGCCCTTGCACTCTGCTGCTGGGAAGTGACCTCAAAGCCCTTGGGATGCCATGCCTGACAGGAGGGTCTTTGTTTGCCTGGTGGCCTTGGGTCACACTGGACAGTCCCATAATGTGGTTTAGGGTAGGTTGGCTGCACTGAAGAGAACACTGTGACATGGGGGCGGGAGTCCCTGAGCCAAGTCCAGCGGCAGCAATGTGATGTGCGGTAGGGGCCCTTTGAGTCCTGCAGTTCGACTTCCTCTGAGGCTGGAGACTAAGACTGGCCATGTGGGAAGTCAGCTATCCCTAGGTGCTGGATGCCAGAAGAGACCCAGGATTCTAAGGCTGGGCAGTGTCCCTGGTTGGCAGAACTCCCCGTGCAGTCACACAGGGTGCCCGGAAGGTAGCACAGCCCAGACACCACGGGGACAGGACAGTCGAAGCTCTGTTACCTCTCCCGGACTCCCCCATGGGTTTCCTCCCTTGGCTGACTTAAAGTTGTCTCCGTTCCCCATAATAAACTGTAACGGAAAGCGTAGCAGCTTTCAGTGGGTTCTGGGGGCTTTTCTAGTGAGTTATAGAACCGGAGGTGGTTTTGGGAACAACTCACCCGACAGACATGCCGCTGGTGTGAGAAACAAGCCCGGTGTTGGGGACTGGCTCCCCCTAGCGTCCGGTTGGTCTAACTGCCTTTCATATACAGCCTATACCTCATGTTACTGCGCTTCGCATACTGCATTTGTTAAAAATTGAAGGTGGGTGGCAACCATGCGTTGAGCAAGCTGACCTGTGGCATTTTCGCAGCAGCATGTGCTCACTTGGTGTCTGTGTCTCATTTTGGTAACTCCTGCAATATTTCAAGCTTTTTTGTTATTGTTCCTTTTGTTCTGGTGATCTGTGATCAGGGATCTTTCATGTTACCGTTGAAATTCTTTAGGGATGCCAAGAACTGCGTCCATACAAGGCAGCAAACTTAATGGAAAAATGGCATGTACATCCTCACTGCTCGCCAGACCAGCCATTCCCCTGCCTCTCTCTCTCCCCCCAGGCCTCCCTATCCCCTGGCACACAACAATACTGAAATTGGGCCAATTAATGACCCTATAATGGCCCCTAAGTGTTGAAGTGAAAGGAAGAGTCACACACCTCTCACTTTAAGGCAAAGGCTAGAGATGATCAATCTTAGTGAGGAAGGCACATCCAAAGCAGAAAGATGCTACTTGTGCCAAAGTCAGCCAAGCTGTGAATGCAAAGGAGAAGTTCTTGAAGGAAACTGAAAGTACTCCAGTGAACACACGAATGATAAAAAAGCGAAAGTCTTATTGCAGATATGCAGAAAGTGTGCACGGTCTGAATAGAAAATCAAACCAGCCACAACATTTCCTTAATCCAAAGCCTAATCCAGAGCAAGATCCTCTCTTCAATTCTATGAAGGTTGAGAGAAGCGAGGAAGCTGCAGAAGAAAAGCTTGAAGCTGGCGGGGGTTGGTTCATGCGGTTTAAAAAAAGAAGCCATCACTGTAACATAAAAATGCAAGGAGAAGCAGCAAGAGCTGATGAAGGCGCTGCAGCAAGTTCTCCAGCAGATCCAGCTAAGATCACTGATGAAGGGGGCCACACTAACAACGGATTTTCAATGCACACAAAACAGCCTTCTATTAGAAGCAGATGCCATCCAGAACTCTCATAGCTAGAAAGAAGCCAATGCCTGGCTCCAAAGCTTCAAAGGACAGGGTGACTCTCTTGTTAGGGGCTCATGCAGCTAGCGACTTCAAATTAAAGCCAATGCTCATTCACCAATTACAACAATTCTAAGGCCCTTAGGAATTATGTTCAATCTACTCTACCTGTGCTGTATAAATGAAACAACAAAGCCTACATGACAGCACATCTGTTTACTGCATGGTTTACTATTTTAAGTCCATTAAAATATTAAAATAGCCATTAACACAACATTCAAGTCTTATTAACTTTCAAGTTAACTTCCATAATTAACTTTCAAGTCTTATTATTTAAGACATTTCATAAGGCTACAGCTGCCTTAGACAATGATTCCTCTGATGGATCTGGGAGAAAATTTTTAAAAACCTGCTGGAAAGGATTCACCATTCTAGATGCCTTAAGAACATTCATGATTCATGGGAGGAGGTCAAAACAGCAACATGAACAGGAGTTTGGAAGATGTTGATTCCAGCCCTCATGGATGACTCTGAGCGATCCCGGACTTCAGGGGAGGAAGTCACTGCAGATGTGGTGGAAACAGCAAGAGAACGAGAATTGGAAGTGGAGCCTGGAGATGGGACTGAATTGCTGCAGTCTCATGAGAAAACATGAATGGATGACAAGTTGCTTCTTATGGATGAACAAAGGAAGTGTTTTCTTGAGATGGAATCTACTTCTGGTGAAGATGCTGTGCACACGGTTGAAATGACAACAAAGGATTTAGAATTGACATCAACTTAGTTGATAAAGCAGTGGCAGGGTTTGAGAAGAGTGACTCTAATTTTTAAAGATGTTATGTGGGTAAACTGCTATCAAACAGCAACACATGCTACAGAGAAGTCTTTTGAATGGAAGTCAATTGATGTGACAAACTTCATTGTCTTATTTTAAGAAATTGCCACAGCAACCCCAAACTCCAGCAGCCACCACCCTAATTAGTCAGCAGCCACCAACATTGAGGCAAGACCCTCCCCCAGCAAAAAGATGGCAATTCACTGAACACTCAGATGATCATTAGCATTTTTTAGCAACAAAGTATTTTAAAATTAAGGTACATACATTGGCTTTTTTAGACATAATGCTACTGCATACTTAGTAGACTACATTACAGCCTATAAAAGCATTTTATATGCACTTGGAAACCAAACATTTCATGGGACTTGCTTTATTGCAGTATTTGCTGTATTGCAATGGTCTAGAAGCAAACCCATGGTTTCTCCAAGGTATGCCTTTTAGTTTGACCCCAGACTGCACTCCAAAGCAGCGGCCTTATTCTACACTCCTCACAGCACCTCTGGGCTCACCTAATGTGCCATCATCACTCAGACTTCAACATCACCTAGTGCTGCAGTTCCCACCACCCGCCCGAACCACCCCCGCCCCAACCCACCCCGAGCTAAAGCAGTATCTCATTATGGTTTTAATTATGATTCTCCAGTTACTAAATAGTTTAAGCATCTCCTTATATTTTGCTGCTGTCAACCTCATGAAATAATAGCTACTCAGTTAGGTAATGTAGAAGGTAAAATGGCCCCAAGCATTTTTATCTCCTCTCTTTGGCCACAGGATCCTGAAACTGAAAACGACCTTTGGGTCCCAACTATCCACGGCTTTCCCACAAAGCTCTGAAAATAAGAGTTGAGAAAAAAGTATTGAGCTACTGGACAAATACATCAGTGTCTTGAGAATGTGTCCCCTACCTTCCAGCAAACAAACTGTTGCTTTTCTATGCAGTGCCTGGCCTCAGTTTCCTTCCACATGTCACCCACAGCCAGCCTCGGAGATCCTCCTGCCTAGGGCTGCCCTTGACCAGAGAGATCTGGTTGCAGCAAAGCCACAGGGACACCAGTGGCTCCTCAGAGCTTGCGTGGTCAAGGGCTGAGGAAGGGCGTCTGTTTCAAGCCATTTCTATAAAACACCCTGTGGGAGCAGACCTGAAGGAGAGGGGCAACCGCCACACAGGTATGGGGGAGAAATGTTCCCTGGAGATCAGAGGCCGAGGCAGGGCCCACCTGGCTTGCTGAAGAACAGAGAGGCCATCATGCTGGGTCTGCAGGGAGCAGGGGGCACAGTGGTGACGAGAGAGGAAGAGCTCGGGGTGGATTATGTAGCACTTCCCAGGCCACTGCGAAGCTTTCCCGGAATGAATCTGAGTTGCTGCAGGGCCTTGAGTACAGCAGGGGCAGGCTCTTGCTTAGTTTTTATTTTCATTGTTTTAATAAATTTCATTGTGTATATTTAAGGTATGCAACGTGATGTTACAAAGTACAAACAGATAGCAAAATGGTCACTACAGGGGAGCAATTAACATTCCCATCACCTCCCAGAGTCAACCACTTTTAGGATTTTGTGGCAAGAGCAGCTGAAGTCTAGTCATTTAGCAGGAACTCCCAAAACAGTGCAATTTTATTACCTACATTCCTCCTGTTGTACATCGGATCACCAGACTGGTTCATCCTACATATTTTAAAGTAGAAACCCATCTACCTGCTGGGTTGAGAATGCATTGTTGGAGCAGCGGGAGGAGATGAGGTCCCCAGGTCTCCTGGGCAGAAGAGGACAGTGCCAGTGGGCCACGGTGGGGGACTGGCGGGGAGCAGGTAAGATGAGGTCAAGGTCTTTGGCTACAGGAAGAGCCTGCAGGATTCCTTTGCAGACCTATTGTGGACTGTTAGAGAAAACAACTCAGAGACAGCTCTGAGATGTCTGAGGACTGCAGGGATTGGGCCCCTGGGCAAGTCTGGGATGGAGGCAGTGGTTGGACCTGGAAGAGGGTTTGGGAGAGAGACCCACGTCAGAGAGGCAAGTGTGAGGTCACCATGGGGGGCTGGATAGGACAGAGAGGCCACACGAGGATGCCAAGGGTTCTTCCACATGAAGAGGGTGGAGTGGAGAGGACACAAGGGAGACGGAGGAGCATCAGCAAGGCCAGAGAAAGCCCTTGTGGAGGGAATGTCCCTACACAAAAATCCATTCAAAACAGACAAGGGCTTAATTGTAAGGCCTGAAACTGTAAAGCCAGTAGAAGAAAACACAGGTGAAAAACTCCATGACACTGGCCTAGGTTTCAGGGTTGTATCACTTCTTGCATATGACCCTAAAAGCACAAGCAACAAAAGAAAAATAAACATACATGATTGCATAGAGCTAAAAAGCTTCTGCACAGCAAAGGAAATCATAAACAGAGTGAAGACAACTCACAAATTGGGATAGAGTATTTGCAAACCATACATTAAGTAGGGGGTTAATATCCAAAATATACATGGAACTCAAACTCAATAGCAGGAAAGCAAATAAACGACTAAAAAATGAGCAAAGAACCTGAAGAGACACTTCTCAAAAGAAGACATACCAATGGCCAACAGGTATATAAAAAAATGCTCAACATCATTAATCATCAGGGAAACGTAAACCAAATCACAATGAGATTATCTCACACTTCTTAGAATGACTAATTTCAAAGAAAATAAATGTTGGTGAGTATGTAAATTATTATAGCCATTATGGAGAAGCATATGGAGGTTATTCAAAAACTTAAAAAGAGTACCGTGACCCAGCAATCCTACTGCTAAGTATTTTCCCAAAGGAAACGACATGAATATATGGAAGAGATACCCACACTCCTGTGTTTCTTAAGAGCACTTTTACAACAGTCAAGATACGGAATCAACCTACGTGGTCTAGAAGCAAAGTGATAAAGGGATAAAGTGGATAAATGGCTTAAGAAAATGTGGTGTATACACATCATGGAATACTATTTGGCCATAAAAAAGGAAACCCTGCCATTTGCAACATGGGTGAATTTACAGGACATTTATATTAAGTGAAATAAGCCAGGAACAGGACAAATATCACATGATCTCACTTATATGTGGAATCAAAATGTTGATTTATAGAATTAGAGAGTAGAACGGTGGTTAGCAGGGGCTGAGACAAGAGGATTTGGGGAAATTCTAGTCAGAGGGTACAGAGTCCCTGCTATACAAGAATAAACTCAAGGTCTATTGCACAGCATGGTGACTTCAGCTGATAACCGTGTACTGTACGCAGTTGGCCCTCTGTATCTGACTGTCCCACATATGTGCAGAGGGAGGGCTGACTGCAGGGTACTTGAGTATCTGCAGATTTTGGTATCCATGAGGGGGTCCTGGAACCAATCCCCCTTAGGCACAGAGGGATGACTGTATTTGAAATTGCTGAGTGTAGATTTCAAATATTCTCACCACCAAAAAAAACATGAGATGGATACATTAATCTGTCACTCCACAATGTACATAGATATCAAAACATCACACTGTGCCCCATAAATATATAATTTTCTTAAATAGAAAGAGGTTGTGATTGACAGGGTGGGATGTTGCTGGTCAGCTAGGTTAGGTGAGGATGGTGAAGCCACTGTCGGACCTGGTGATGTGGAGACACTGATGTTGTGGGAGACTCTGCCATCAGGACCTGTCCGGGCAAGCATCACAGGTGTGCAGGGCAGGGGCAGGGATGCTCAGGGATGACAGCAGACTGCAGCAGGCGGAGACAGTGAGAAAGACAAACTGGAGGTCTCAGGGTCGGGATGTTGTTGGCGTGCTGACAAAGATTCTCTACTTGGCCAAACTCTGGCCAGGCTCTGGAATCTTCTCCTAGGGCCCTCTTTGCCCTTTCTTATGAAATCCAGTTTTAGCAAGAACCCTAATTTGGTTAACCATAATATCTGACCACCCTCAATGGTACCTGACTGGGTTCCTCTCTGACCGTTTGCAGCCAATGTCTGATCGCCCTGCCTGCCTGCAGCAAGGACTCTGTGAGGTGGGTTTAGCCAGAGCCCCCTCAGCCCTGATGTCTCCTCACAGTCATTCCCACCCATGGACCCTATACTGCTCCTCGCTCCTCCAACCCCTGCCCTGCTACGTCGGGGTGGAGCCCCATCTCCCCCCAGGCCCCAAGGAAAGGGTCCCACACCCATCTCAATGGTCCCAATCAAAGTCCTCCTCACCATGCTTTAGCACGTGTCACGAGGAAGTTTCCTTTGACACTGGAGGGTGGCCAGGGCAGGGGGAAGAGGCCAGGTGGACACACGGAGACGAAGCAAACGAGCTGACACAAACCCACTTTATTCAGCATTGAGCCAGCCCACACGCTGGGCAGGTCAAACTCACAGACATCGCACCAAGGGCCGGGGACTCAGAAGGGCTGAAAGGCTTCATCTGGAAATGGGCACCGCTCACAAGCCCGGCTATCCCCAAATCTCAACAACTGTCTGCATCTATGTCCCCGACTTTGCAATCCTGTCCCCAGTGCTGAGTTTCTGTCGACTAATTTATCTACACACAAGGATGCTGCAGGCAACTGAGCTACTGCTACAAGCTTTGCAAAATTCAACTACTAAAGGAAATGGGAGGAGGGAAAGAGCTAGAGATAACAGCAAGATGAGACACGATGGCAGGGCCTGGAGATGCTAAATGGGGTTAGCCACCTGCCAGCCCCCTCACCCAGGGAAACAGAGAAAGAGGCTTCCTTCTGCGGAGGCAGGTGGAGCACAGGGAGGGCTCCTGGGAGGCACAGGAGTGGGGTGGGGGCCAGGAAGGGGGAGGTGGACAGAGCGACTTGGATAAGGCTGGGCCGGGCCCACGCCCACCTCAAGAGGGGGGCCGCCTCCTCAGGAGGCATCAAGGTGCAATCCAGTCTTCCTTTCTCTCCCTGAAGACCTGAGTTCCAGCCTTCACAGAGCGTCATGCGCATTCTTCTTTCTGGATGCTAACCCCAAATCCGACACTCAATGGTGCACCTCAGGTACCTGCCAAGGATCTGTGGGCCCACATGGAAGGTGCAGGGTCTGGGTCCCTGGATGACGAGGTGAGGGGCAGATGGGTGACCAGGGAAGGGCATGACCCAGAGCTGCCGGGACTCATGGAGGATGGGCTGTGGCTAGGACTTCAGGAAGGGACGGGCACAGGTGGGAAGGGTCCTCAGGTCCAGCCTCTACCGGGAGGTGTTTGCAGCCCCCAAAACACGCCTCGGGGTGAAGGATAAATGGACATTGTTGAAACACGCAACTATGTAGATGGACCCAAGGCCAGGCGCCTGCCACGCTTCCCTGGCAGCCACACGCTGACACTTCCCATGGAGATGAGGATCCATCCTCCTGCCTCCAGCTCTGGGACTGCCACGGGTTGGCGCCATCACTGCATGGGAGGGGAGAGGGAAAGACAGAGAGACAAAAAGAGAAAGAGACACACAGAGTCAGAGACAGAGGCAAAAGGAGAGAGCGAAAGAGAGAGCGCACATGAGACAGCGCATGAGGTACTGTCCTGAGCACAACAAACCCAGGGCCTGGCCCAGACTTCCGTCTCCCCAGGGCCAAAGCCTTGTCACCTATGGCTGGCACGGGCAACTGAACCGTTCAGGGCCATCTGGGTTGCTGCAGGGTCTGGGGTTCAGGCCAGGCCCTGGGCAGAGGCAGAAGAAAAGCCCTGAGGTTGGGTTTCTTGGCTGCTTCTGCCTTCAGGACCCCAGGGCGAGGCAGGAGCCTTCCATGCTCGGGCACTCGGGATGCCAAGTGCCCTCCTTTGTGAAGGTCAGGGACACCTCAGACCCTCCTCAACTTAAAACCCCTTCCCATCACCTTCCCTGACCACCCACCCATTCCCGAAATTCAGCCCTGCAAGGCCACGGCAGTGGGAGTCAGGCTGGGCTTTTAAGCCTTGACTTCGGGCAATGGTCCCCCAATGGCTCGCTGCTGCCTGCGTCCACCCTGGCCCGATGGTGGGCAGACCCAGCGGGGCTCCCGCACCTGCAGCAGCATGCTGAGGCCCAGGTTGCGATGCTTCTTCTCCAGCTCCGAGACCGCCTGCAGCAGTGACCTGAACCGCTCAGTGGGGTCAGCCAGCTCGTCCTCAGGGAGCCCCTCCTCCTTCTCAGCCTCCTGCAGGAAATGCTCCTCCTCCTCCACAAAGAAGGCCCGCAGCTTCTTGTAGTCGGTCAGTGCCTTCTTCCTACGGTCCATCACGTGTCCCTGCAAACGGGTGGCAGGAAAAGACCTGTGTCCTCACCCACCCTCCCCAGGGGAAGGGGAACCTGTTTGCTCTTGAAGGAGTTAAGAACATGCCACTCCAAAACATGCTGCTCAGGCACATCGACTATTAGGCCAGGCACAGTGGCTCACGCTTGTAATCCCAGCACTCCAGGAGGCCAAGGCGGGCGGATCATGAGGTCAGGAGTTCAAGACCAGCCTGACCAACATGGTGAAACCCCGTCTCTACTAAAAATACAAAAATGAGCCAGGCGTGGTGGCACGCCTGTAATCCCAGCTAATCGGGAGGCTGAGGCAGGTGAATCACTTGAATCCAGGAGGCGGAGGTTGCAGTGAGCCCGAGTTCATGCTACTGCACTCCAGCCTGGGCGACAGAGCGAGACTCCATCTCAAAAAAAAAAAAAAAAAAAAAAAAAGCCAGGCACGGGGGCTCACGCCTATAATCCCAGCACTTTGGGAGGCTGAGGCAGACAGAACATGAGGTCCGGAGATTAAGACCATCCTGGCCAACCTGCTGAAACCCCATCTCTACTACAAATATAAAAATTAGCTGGGCGTGGTGGCGCACGCCTGTAGTCCCAGCTACTTGGGAGGCTGAAGCAGGAGAATCGCTTGAACCTGGGAGGCAGAGGTTGCGGTGAGCCAAAAAAAAACAAAAAACAAAAAAAAAAACAATAACAGAAGAGGCCTGGCACGGTGCCTCATGCCTGTAATCACAGTACTTTGGGAGGCTGAGGTGGGAGGATTGCTTGAGCCCAGGAGTTCGAGACTAGCCTGGGCAACAGTGAAAACCTGTCTCTACTAAAAATCAAAAACATTAGCCAGGCATAGTGGTGCACACCTATGGTCCCAGCAACTCGGGAGGCTGAGGTAAGACGATCGCTTGAGCCCAGGAGTTTGAGGCTGCAGTGAGCTATGACCATACCACTGCACTCCAGCCTGGGCCAACAGAGCAAGGCCTTTTTTAAAAAAAATCAAAAAACAGTGCAAGATCACCCTGACCTCCATTCTGCTTCTTAAAAGCAAATGAAATTCCCAAGTGAAAGACGCCCTCCCCATATCAAATAAAATGATTTTATCATCAAGGACGACAGGAAGTCAAGGCCGACAGAATTTGGTACAGACCTTGTGAAAACAACTCTTTCAAGCATCCCCACATCATGTAGTTGCTTTTTTACAAGTGGCTAGTCTTTGTCCAAGTCAGTATATAAGTGATTTAATTTTGCCACTTTGAGTCTTCATTTCATTATAAGGGAGCCTGTGCTGTATAAAACTTGTGTTAAATTAATATGCCTGGCTGGACACGGTGGCTCACACCTGTAATCCCAGCACTTTGGGAGGCCGAGGTGGTTGGATCACTTGAGGTCAGGAGTTCAAGACCAGCCTGGCCAACATGGTGAAACCCCATCTCCACTAAAAATACAAGATTAGCCAGGCGTGGTGGTGCACACCTGTAGTCGCAGTTACTCGGGAGGCTGAGGCAGGAGAACCACTTGAACCAAGGAGGTGGAGGATGCAGTGAGGCAAGATCGCACCACTGCACTCCAGCCTGGGCAACAGAGCAAGACTCCATCTCAAAAAAAAAAAATCCTATGTTTTTTCTCCCATTAACCCATCTCCCTTTATTTTTTTTTTTTTTTTTTTTTTGAGATAGGGCCTCACTCTGTCACCCATGTTGGAGTGCAGTGGTGCCATCACAGTTCACTGCAGCCTCAACCTCTTGGGCTTAAGTGATCCTCCCACCTCAGCCTCCCAAGTAGCTGGGACCACAGATGCAACACCATACCTGGCTAATTTATTAATTTTTGTACAGATGGTGGTCTCACTATGTTACCCAGGCTGGTCTCGAACTCCTAGCCTCAAGCAATCCTCCTACACCTCAGCCTCCCAAGTTGCTGGGATTACAGGCATGAACCACTGCACCTGACCCTGTTAGTTTAGCTTATGTCAGTTTAATTCTCCCGCCCAGCCTGGGGCCCTAAAAGGGGAGAAATAGAGTTCTTTCTCCCCTACACTGCAGTGCTCAGCTGCACAGGAAGACTGTCCCTCTCCCATCTCCCATGGCCAAGGGGACAGTAAATCCTTGAGTGGCCCTGCTAGGTCTAGAGCCTGTCAGGCACGTGACTGTCAGGGCAGGACACACACCCATCTTGCCAGCAACTGTCCCTGCTGTGCCCACACCAGAACTCCAATGGCTGAAAACCATCCCATCAGCCTTCAACAAACAGCATTCACACTTGCCACTCTTCAGCTGGTTTTCAGCCAACTCCTAACCTTGCAAACAGGAGAGCAGAGCAGGATGCTACTCTGATTTTACTCAGTCATGGATGGCTTCCACCTGGCCCTGGGCCACACAGGGCAGGTGACACCCATAGTCATGAGGGGCCAAGGCTTTTGTTGCTGAGAATGCAAATGACAGCTGGGTGTCTGCTGGCTGGCTGATGCAACACGCTGCAAACTCCTTCCTTTGGATTTAGGTGGCTTCTCTCATCCCAGCATCTAAGCCACAAACCCCCAAAACAGGACAGATTGAAAGCTCCAACCTGCTAAAATCTGTGGGCAAAACAATTCCCTTGGGGTAACACAGGGTTACTGAAAACTTGGAGGTCCCCAAAGCCTTCCAGCCTCACTTGCACTGGGCAGTGTTGACCACTCACAAGGCAAGGAGAAGTTCAGAGCAGCCCCAAGGGCAGTGTGGAGTGCCAGGGGTCTGAGTGGCATCAGGGACCCCATGTGTAACCCGTCACTGTCTGAGGGAGGCCTGCACCTCAGGCCTGTGGATAGCAGGCAAGGGCTTGGCAGCACCAGGAGCACAGAGCCCACCTCAGCCTCAAGCTGGGGTAAAAACGTGGGCCTCAGCCTCGAGATGCAGCCAGTTACCCAAGAGCTGCTGCACCTGTGAAAAGCACTCTGTCTTTCAGGTTAAAAGAAGGAGATAGGAATTTATGAAACGCAGAGAAAATGGCACACAGGTTTTTACTACACGAGGAAAAAGTCACCAAATAGAGTTTAAACGACTAAAGAGCTTTACTGGTGAGTAACCTAAAAGAATCTATGGGATGTCCCCTTGGGATATAATACTGTGGAAGGCACCCAAGGAAAGTAACGCTGCTCTGGTCTGAATGTCTGTGTCCTCCCCAAATCCCCATGCTGAAATCCTCATCCCTCAGGTGATGGCGTTAGGAGGCAGGACCCTTGGGAGGTGATGAGGTTGTGAGGGTGGAACTCTCAAGAACGGAATCAGTGTCCTTACACAAAGGCCCCAGAGACACCCTCACTTCTTCCACCATGTGAGGACACAGTGAGAAGACACCATCTATGAACCAGGAAACGCCCTCACCAGACAGGGAATCTGCCAGTTCCTTCATCTTGGACTTCTAGCCTCTAAAAAATAATGAGCAACTCTCAGATCAGAACAAGAGGACCACAGAAAATTACAGATGTGTTCTAAAAAAGAAAAAAAAAATAGCACTTTGGGAGGCCAAGGCGGGAGAACCGCTTAAGGTCAGGAGTTTGAGACCAGCCTGGGCAACACAGCAAGACCCCCACCTCTAGAAAAGCATTTTAAAATTAACCAGGTGTGGTAGCACGTGCCTATAGTCCCAGAGGCTGAGGTGGGAGGATCGCCTGAGGCCAGTTCGAGCTGCAGTGAGCTACAATCATGCCATTGCACTTCAGCCTGGGTAATGAAGTGAGACTCTGTCTCTTGGGAAAAAAAAAAGAAGTCTGATGCTGCCATCACCTACAGGTAAAATGTGAGGAGAAAAAGAGGCTTCCACTGGCTTTGGCTAGATTCTATTTGAGAAATACAAACACATCCTAAAAAAAATACCCTGAAGCTCACTTAAGTCCAGAGGCCCCTCCTCCAACCAACCAGCTGAGCAGTTCAGAGGCCTGGCCCACTTGGCCTGGTGGTCCCTTTGTCTAGAGCCCTGAGCCCACAGTCCCCTCATTCCAGGCTGCCCCAGGTCCCCCCACTTGCCTTCCACACTGCAGCTGCTGACTCTGCCTGGCCATGCAGGTCCCGGGCGTCATTCAAGTCCTTTCTCATGATTTCCACAGACCCCTTGTTCTCCTGTAAAGAAAAGAAGGTCACCAGGGGTGGGCAGAAGCTCTGGGTCCCCCAACCCAGCCCAGTACTGAGGGACATCACCCCAGCTGACTGCACACAGTCTGACCATCCCAGAGATAACCTCGAAGCCCGGTTGTCTAGGGCAGGAACGCACAGGCAGTCAAAAGGTTTCTTGGGCTTCACACCTATTCAGAAGGATCTGGGTGCTGGGGCTAAGGGGACTGTCTAGGTGGGTTTAGGAGTTCTGTGTCTGTAAGTGGCCCTGTTCAGTGTGAGTTCGGCCTGTACCAAAGGTCTGCACAGCCTGCCCTACACCCTGCCCTGCCTGAGCCGGATGGGGGTCGCTCTGCCCGGTGGCAGGACCCCCAATGCAGGAGGAGCACCCAGGGACACAGTCTGGCTGGCTTCCCCTCCCCTGTATTGAAGAGCAGGACCCCAGGCTGGCTGTTGTCTCCTATTCTGTGTCCCACAACCAACCCGCCATGGGCAAGGCTCCAGACTCCCGGACCCGCTGCTGCCAGACTCTCAGAGCGGGTTTCTGAAAGATGGGAGAGGGGACAGGGGGTGCAGGCGAGGGCTGGGTGGCCCGGGGAGCAGACGAGAAGGTGGGCCAGGCCTGTGGACACAGTGGAATACAGAGGGGCAAGAGGCGTGATGTCTCCCCCAAGGGAAGAGTGAGTGGAGGAGTCAATCTGTAGGAACTAGAGGGGGTCTATGAGGGCGAGACAGGGCACAGCTAGTGATGGGACCACAAAGATGGGCGCTGGTGGGGGAAGGACTTCGTAGAAGGTAGGGGGTGGGGAGATAAGGCACCGCCCAGCAGGGGACACCAAGACGGGGAAGGGGACCAGACTCCGAAGAGACGCAGGAAATATGGGGAGGCAAGCCGCAGGAGGGAGGGGCCCAGCACACGCTGGAGAGGGGACCCGTGGCGGTGAGGGGAGGGGGACAATCCGGGGACGGGGACAATCCGGGGACAGGAACAGTGGAGACGGGAAGGGCCCAGGGCTCAGGGGGACCGGGGCGGGGGCGGAGAGGCGCAGGGCACCGTCCGGGGTGGGGCACGGGACCCCGCGGCGCGCACCTTGCCGCGCAGCGCCTTCCTCCAGCGCGGTTCCCACTCGGGCGGCTCGGGGCCCGCAGCCATACGGCAGGCGGCGCAGAGCGGGCCGGCGTCGGCGCGGCACAGCAGCTGCAGCGCGGCCTCGCTGGCCGGGCCGTCGCGCGCGGGCGCCGCGGCCGCCTCCTCGAGCGCCAGAAGGCGGCGGCTGAGCGGGGGCCTGCCGGGCTCCACGGCGCGCTGCCAGCAGTCGTCGGCGCACTCGGGGCACGGGAAGGGCCCGTCCTCCTCGGCCCAGAAGCGCACCACGCACGCCCGACAGAAGCGGTGGCCGCAGTCGGCGCGCACCGGTTCCCGGGGCGCGCGCTGGCACAGGGCGCAGGCGGCCTCGGCGGGGCCCGCAGGGAGCGCCAGGGCTGCGGGCGGCGGGGCCGGCAAGGGCGCAGGAGCGGCTGGGGAGGGCCGGAGACCTAGACGGCCGGCGACCGGACGGAGACCAGCAACAGGACGAAGACGCCAACGCCGGGGACGCGCACGGGGCGGGGTCGGGGACGCGCACGGGGCGGGGTCCGGACCGCGGAGCGCTCTGCCGATAAGATCCTGGCAGCGGTGTGCTGCAGCCGGAGGTCCTGGCCGCGCTGCGCTCCACAGACAAGATCCTGGCAGCAGTGTACTGCATCCTTAGGTCCTGGCCGCGGTGGGCTTCTCCGCCTGGATCCTAGCGGCGGTGCGCTCCTCCGCCTTGATTTTGGCAACTATGCTCTCCACCTGCAAGGTCCTGGCAGCGGCGCACGTCACCGCGCAAGTCCTGGCAGCTGCGCGCTTCACTCTACTGCCTGCGGACCGGCCCAAGTCGTATCCTGAAATCTTACTGGGCTGTCCCTTCCTACTTCAGTAACTCCTGCGAAAGAGGGAAACAAAGTTTTATTTTTACTTGAAGGTTCCATTTTTAAAAGGTTGTTTTTGTAAGCTGCTAGGATCTGAGCTGCGCGTACCCCCGCGGTAGCTCGCCCGCGTGGGCTGGGGACGGGGCGGGAAATGGCCTGCGTGGGCCTCCTCCGCTGCTCTCATCCTGCACGGACCCGCCCTGCATGGGCACGCCCTGCGTGCACGGGCCTGCCCGCGTGGACGTGCCCTGCGTGCACCCTTCCTTCAGGGACCCGCCCTTGAACGGCCCTCCGGACGTGGACACTCGTATACGCCCACCCTGCGTGGGATCTCCCTGCGTGGACCCATCCCGCTGAGCCTCTTCTCGCGCAGCCTCCCTCTGGCCCCCTGGGAAGCTACCCTGGTTGTCCGCTGTCTCCTGGCTGGGGGGAGCTCTCATTGATTCTGTGATGATGCATGACAGAAGAGCATTTGTTAGCTTTGCTTTGCTTTTCTTTCTTTTTTGAGACAGCCTCGCTCTGTTGCCAGGCAGGCTTGAGTGCAGTGGCGCGATCTCGGCTCACTGCAACCTCCGCGTCCCGGGTTCAAGCGATTCTCCTGCCTCAGCCCCCCGAGTAGCCGGTATTGCAGGCGCCTGCCACGACGCCCGGCTAATTTTTGTATTTTTAGTACAGACGGGGTTTCACCATGTTGGCCAGGCTGGCCTCGAACTCCTGACCTCGTAATCCACCCGCCTCTGCCTCCCAAAGTGCTGGGATTACAGGCGTGAGCCACTACACCCGGCCGTTAGCTTTTCTTTAAAAAATAAATTTAAAGGAAAGAAATAAGCCTTTGGGAAGAGCAATCTTGTGTTTTTGTTTTTTAATTATTTTGAAAACAAGCAAGCATGGTTAAAATAAGATTGTGCAAGTTTTGCATTTTAAAAAATTAATCTGGGCCGGGCGCCGTGGCTCACGTCTCTAATCCCAGCACTTTGCGAGGCCGAGGCGAGCGGATCACAAGGTCAAGATATGAGACCATCCTGGCTCATGGTGAAACCCCGTCTCTACTAAAAATACACAAATTAGCCGGGCGTGGTGGCGCATGCCTGTAATCCCAGCTACTCAGGAGGCTGAGGCAGGAGAATCACTTGAACCAGGGAGTCGGAGGTTGCGGTGAGCCAAGATCGTGCCACTGCACTCTAGCCTGGCGACAGAGCGAGACTCTGTCTTAAAAAACAAAAACAAAAAAAAATTTTTATAAATCTGTATTCCAAGCAAGCGCAGGATCTAATGAGGTATTTTTGTCTTTGTGAAGATTTTTTAAATCGACTTGGAAATGCACTAGATGCCCGTGGGAAACATGAATAGTAAACCGAGGTTATTTCTGTGTAGTAAAGATTAGAGGCTTCCAGCCGAGCCTTGCTGATATTGTTGAGTCAACTAGGAACTTGCTGGAGAGAAAAGTAAAAAATATAAAAAATGAGCAAACTTCATAATGAACTAATCTTGTGAATGAGAAAATATCAAAAATTATAATTAAAGGCAAATAGCCAAATTAGGAACATTGTAACCACAAATATACAAAGAGTTTATAAAATTAGGTAAGGAAAAGCATGATGGAAAATACACCTTGTCATGGGATTTTTCAAATCACAAAAAAAAAAGCACACAAATGATTGAACACACATGAGAAAAAAATGTACACTCTGCCCAGTTAAGAAAGAGGAAAATAAAACGAGACTCTCTTTCTTTCCACTATTAAGTAAGCAGACCAAACAAAAAAAAGGAAACTTGGCCGGGAGCCGTGGCTCAGGCCTGTAAACACAGCACTTTGGGAGGCCGAGGCGGGTGAATCATCTGAGGTCAGGAGTTCAAGACCAGCCTGGCCAACATAGTGAAACCCTATCTCTACTAAAAATACAAAAATTAGGCTGGATGTGGTGGCACACGCCTGTAATCCCAGCACTTTGGGAGGCTGAGGCAGGTGGATCACAAGATCAAGAGATCGAGACCATCCTGGCCAACATGGTGAAACCCCGTCTCTACTAAAAATACAAAAATTAGTTGGGCATGGTGGTGCACGCCTGTGGTCCCAGCTACTTGAGAGGCTGAGGCAGGAGAATAGCTGGAACCGGGAGACGAAGGTTGCAGTGAGCCGAGATCATGCCACTACACTCCAACCTGGCGACAGAGCAAGACTCCCTCAGTTTCAAAAAAAAAAAAAAAATACAAAAATTAGCCAGGCATGGTGGCACGTGCCTGTAATCCCAGCTATTTGGGTGGCTGAGGCAGGAGAATCGCTTGAACCTGGGCGGTGGAGGTTGCAGTGAGCCGAGATCACACCACTGCACTCCAGCCTGGGCAACAGAGTGAAACTCCATTTCAAAAAAACAAAAAACAGAAAACAAACAAACAAAAAAAACACTTGATTCTGTGAATACTGCTTCTTGTAATCCACGTAGCAGTATCGATTAAGGATTTTCTGATTGGAATTCCTTTTCTTAGAAAACAAACTATAAAAATAACAGGAAATGAAAATAATAAAAATTGGGTTGTAAAAAATTGGGCTGTTTTGTTTTGTTTAGAAATGTGGCTGGGAGAGGTGGCTCATGCCTGTTAATCCCAGCACTTTGGGAGGCTGAGGTGAGTGGATAGCTTGAGCCCAGTAGTTCAACACCAGCCTGGGGAACATGGCAAGAACCTGTCTGTACAGAAAATTTTTAAAATTTAGCTGGGCGTGGTGGCACGCACCTGTGGACCCAACTACTTGGGAGGCTGAGGTGGGAGGATCACCCGAGCACAGGAGATTGAGCCTGTAGTGAGCCGTGATCATGCCACTGCACTCCAGCCTGGGAAATGAGAGAATTTTTTAAGACCTTGTCTTAAAAAAAAGAAAGAGAGAGAGAGAGAGAGAGAGAGGTGGGGGCGGGGGGTGGGGGAGAGAAGGAAGGAGTGGAGGGAGAGAGGAAGGAAGGAAGAAAGGGAAAAGAAAAAGAAGAAAGGAAGGAAAGAAAGAAAAGGAAGGAAGGAAGGAGAAAAAGAAGGAAGGAAAGAAAGAGAGAAAGGAAGGGAGGGAGGGAGGAAGGGAGAGGAAGAAAGAGAAGAAAGAAAGAGAAATGTATGTCATATCACTATTCATTTTGGAGAAAAAAAAAAAAACCTTGAAGGTCCAATACTAGGGGCATGGCTTAGCAAATGGTAGCAGCCATGAACTTGCACATGTGTGCATTAGAGACTTTTGGAAGTATACACTGGCAAAGATTGTTGCCTGAAAGCCTCTCTCCCTTACCACCAGCAGAATCCACATTGTGTGGTGCCAGCATCCCCACTTCCCAAGACAGGGTGGCTGGTGTAGGTGCCAAGGGGAACCCTTGGTCCTCTCAAATTTTGATGAAAAATTGCAAAAGGCTGGTCGCGGTGGCTCACGCCTGTAATCCCAGCACTTTGGGAGGCCGAGGCTGGCAGATCACAAGGCCAGGAGATGGAGACCATCCTGGCCAACACGGTGAAACCCCATCTCTACTGAAAATACAAAAATTAGCTGGGCATGGTGCTGCATGCCTGTAGTCCCAGCTACTCGGGAGGCTGAGGCAGGAGAATCGCTTGAACCCAGGAGACGGAGGCTACAGTGAGCTGACATAGCATCACTGCACTCCAGCCTGGGTGACAGAGCCAGACTCTGTCTCAAAAAAAAAAAAAAAAGAAAGAAAAATTGCAAAAGGCAGATCAATTGGAGAAAAGGCAGACACATTTATTTACTGTGTCTATACAAACCTAAAGATATGGGGGAAATCGTCCTTTTTTTTTTTTTTTTTGAGACGGAGTCTTGCTCTGTCACCCAGGCTGGAGTGCAGTGGCGCGATCTCGGCTCGCTGCAACCTCCGCCTCCCGGGTTCAAGCGATTCTCCTGCCTCAGCCTCCCGAGTAGCTGGACTACAGGCACGTGCCATACCGCCCGACTAAGTTTTTGTATTTTTAGTAGAGACGGGGGTTCACCGTGTTAGCCAGGATGGTCTCGATCTCCTGACCTTGTGATCCGCCCACTTCGGCCTCCCAAAGTTCTGGGATTAGAGGCGTGAGCCACCATGCCTGGCCAAGATATGAGGGAAATCATCCATTTTTATGCTTAGGTTCCACAAGGTATGGACAGCCATGCAGAAATAGAATTGGGCAAATAGGGTCGGAGCTAATGAGAAGAGCCTAAGTGGGGACACCCAGCCAGGCCTGTCTGTCTAGATTCTTATGGCCTCTCTGAGCAGTCTTCCTTCCTTCCTTCCTTCCATCCAGGACCCTCTCTGGAGTGAGGGTCTTAAGATCTACAGTCTAACAAGGTAGGTCAGATCATTTCTTCATGGCTGGGTTTTACACAGAAAGGCAGAAAGAAAATTAGAGTCATATTTTTTAAGTGTTATAGCTGGCTTTGGGTTCTAGTTTCTATGACTCACCTTGAGGAAGAGGGATTCTAGTTTCTATGGCCAGACAGGGGAGAATGAGGGGCTAGAGACAGAGGGCCAGAGAAGGTCAGAGAAAACTTTTTGCTTCTGAGGCTGCTTAGGATGTCCTCATTTTGGGTCTTGTTTTCTGAGCCTCCTGGCACTTCTCTGTCCAGCCTCCCTCCTCTCTACCCTCCAGATTAGAGACTGAGCCTGATGCCGTTTGAGCACTCAGTTGGGTGGGGAAAGAGTACTCCTCCTCCCTCATGTGCCTCTTGAACTGTTTGGAAAATTGAAGGCTTTCACTTTCTGATCAGAGACAGGATCAAAGTGGGCAGTGGGTTTTTTGTTTGTTTGTTTGTTTGTTTGTTTTTTCTCAGCATGACATCTCATAGATTCCACAAAGACAGAAGAACATTGACGAGTCTTGGATGTCTCTGGGCTCTTGAATTCCCATCGCATTGGCATCAAAGAACTGAATAAGACACTGTTCCGCCACAAAACGGTGCTGGATGCTGAACCATCATCTTCTCAGGATAATATTTTCAACTGATTAATGTAAAATGTTTGGGGATTTCACTGGCAACCACAAAAGCATGTGAATATTTTCTCTAAGAGTGCGATGAAGTCTTTTTTTTTTTTTTTTTTTTTTTTTTTTGTGAGACAGAGTCTCACTCTGTCCCCCAGGCTGGGGTGCAGTGGCACAATCTCAGCTCACTGCAACTTCTGCCTTCTGGGCTCAAGCAATTCTCTTGTCTCAGCCTCCCGAGTAGCTAGGACTAAAGGCACCTGCCACCACGCCCAGCTAATTTTTGTATTTTTAGTAGAGACAGGGTTTCACCTTGTTGATCAGGCTGGTCTTAGACTCCTGACCTCAGGTGATGCACCTGACCTCAGGTGATGCACCTGCCTTGGCCTCCCAAAGTGTTGGGATTACAGGCGTAAGCCACCACTCCTGGCCAGTCTTTTTTTTTTTTTTGTAAGGCAACAGAAACAACCAAAAAATGGATGACTAGAAGAGAGGTAAACGATTCTAATTATAGGAAATTTTTGAGACAGTCTTACTCTGTCACCCAGGCTGGAGTACAGTAGCATGATCTCGGCTCACTGCAACCTCCGCCTCCTGGGCTCAAGCAATTCTCCTGCCTCAGCCTCCCTGGTAACTGGGACTATAGGCACACACTACCACACCCGGATAATTTTTGTATTTTTAGTAGAGATGGGGTTTCACCATGTTGGCCAGGCTAGTCTCGAACCCGTGACCTCATGTGATCCACCCGCCTCAGCCTACCAAAGTGCTGGGATTACAGTTGAGAGCCACCACACCCAGCCTTAATTACAGGAAATTTTAATCCCACATTTCCCTTGTATATTTGATGTGTCTTTTGTTATATGTATTTTATGGCATTGCGGGTTACCCTGTTTAAAATTGTAGTCTCACAAATCAGAGTGTACAAAAACGAATGTTGAAGAGGCCATAAGCTGTGTATTTAAAAGAAATATGGGAGATGCAAGGATGTTTGGATAGGAAGATATGACTTGGGAAATCTCATGTCCGGCACAGGGAAAAAGGAATCTGAAGTAATTAATTTTCATTGCTCCTAAAAGGCGAAATACAACTAAGAAACACAACTTCCTACGTGGTATGAAGTCACTCTGCTCTTCTGCCTGAGAAAATTGTCAGAATAGAAATGGAGTCACGAATGTTCACAAAACCCTGACCAATAGGATTGGAGAAGTCCTGAAGAGAAGATTTTTGGGCTTGCATGCCTGATTTAAAAAAAAAAAGAGACTACAAAAACCACAGCCTTGCTCAGAGGACATCGCCAGGGTACACAAAAAAGACATTTGCAAGGACATCTCCCCAGTAACCTCCTGTTTAACTTCGGACTGGTGTCACCCTTGTTATTGATATTTCTAACCACAGATAATTATTTCAAAACAATTATGTAATTCTTCTTATTTTTTTCCTTTAAAAACCTTTGTCTTCCTTTACCTCTCTGAATACGCACTTACTTTTTACTATGGCACACGTATTCCCATTGCAATGCTTTATTCCCAAATAAATTTCTTTTAGAGAGCTTGTCTCGGTTTATTTCAGTTGACACCAAATTTTCTATGTGTAAGTGAAAAAAAGGTAGGGGGGAATCATAAAGTGTCAAAATGGAGAGATGTCTTCCAGATGGTTCAGTCCAGTCCCTGTGTCTTACTAAAGGAGACTAAGCATGTTAACACACACACACAAACACACACACACACACACACTCCAACCTGCTGAAAATAAAGTCTCTTTTTAAACATTTCTGTCTACATTGTTCTGGTGTTAGAATTGCACTGGAGGACGCCCAGCTGGTGTCCACTGGGGAATCTGCAGAGTTGCTTGCTTGGTGTGTGGGAAAACACTCCTGCCAACATCTGGTGGCAGAAGGGTCATGTTGAGTGGAGAGTTGGAAAAAAACATGTCCATTGATTTTTCCTGTATGTCTTGAGTTGCAGGGGATGGAAACCCCTTTCCTTTAAGCAAGGAAAATGGGTTTAACAGGCAAGGTACTTGGGAGTGTGTGTGTGTGTGTGTGTGTGTGTGTGTGTGTGTGTGTGTACATAAGAGGGGGCCCACACAGGCTGGTGATAAAGGTGGACTCTGAGCTGAGATGTATGCTTTTTAACTAGAGCCTTGTGCCTGAGTAGAGTAGCATGCAATAAATGATACCTGAGCAGTTCTGTACCTACACCAGATCTGTTTGGAGGGCACAACTCATGCTGCATGTTTCAACCACAGTCAAATAAATAATACAATTCAAAATGTCTTCTTGGCTCTTCAATCTCACATGCATTTAGGCAATCCCACCCTTGCCTCACTAAAATGAGTGCCCACTGATGACCACAACCTTATCCAACATGGTTCTCAAATCGAGGACACATTACAAATGGGCTGATGGCATCAACTCCCACAAGCCTCTGTGTGCTGCTTTGATGTGTCAGGAGCTTTAGGTTGCGGGTGACAGGACCTAACTGCAGATGGCTGTAAATGACAGTGGAGGAGGGTGGCCTGTGGCTCCTGAGACTGCAAGTGCAGCCTGATACTGTCAGGCAGTGTGAGCCCTGGGAGCCTGGGGATGTCCCAGGACACACACTTCTTCCTCCGTCCCCTTCCTCCTGGGTGGTCCCCCTACAGCCCCAGGCAATTGTCTCCTCAAGGCCAAATGGCCAGGTCGGGCTTCCATTGACAGCCACTCCAGCCCAGCAAATCAGAGCTCCCCTCCTCCAGATATCCAGGGTGGGTGTTGGGCCAGGCACTGATGCCATTATCATGACCAGGGAAGGGCCTGAGGACCCAGTGGTCAGACCTCCCATCATGGGCTGGAACCAGCTCCGGCCAGAGAAAGAGGATGCATTCGAGCAGGGCCCAAGCCCAGAGCCACACACCAGCTAGGGGCCAAGGGAGAAAAGGAAGGAAATGACGAAGGGGCCTGATTAAAAAAGAAAAAAAAAAAAAAAAACCACAGCCTTGCACAGATACCATCGCCACCACAGACAAAAATGAGGGACTGTGGTCACCTGCAGGGCCAGAGACAGCATGGGTGGGCTGGGCTACCATCCATACCTCAACATCCAGGAGCCCTGGCCTCTCTCACTGCAACCCTCCACGCAGGCAGAGATAACGTTCACAAAATTAACTGCTACCCTTAAAGATGGCGAATATTAAGCTAACTGTATTATCCAATATTATGGATAGCCTTTGCATAATTTTTAAACCTTTCAACTTAAAAACTCATGTCAAAACCAATTACTCAATGTTTCATTTTAAATGCAATTGTAATGGTAATCTTTTCAATATTTCAGATGTCAAAATTGCTCAAAAAATTAGGATTCTAAATATCTAAATATACCCGTGAAAGGAAAATAAATCTTGGGGCCCCAAAGTCACTTGGCTAAAGAGAAAAGTCAAGCTGGGAACTGCTTAGGGCCAACCTGCCTCCCATTCTATTTAAAGTCACCCGTCTGCTCACTGAAATAGATGCATATCTGATTGCCTCCTTTGGAAAGGCAAATCAGAAACTCAAAAGAATGCAACTGTTTGTGTTTCACCTATTTGTGACCAGGAAGGCCCCTCCCCACTTTGAATCTTTCTGCCTTTGCTTCAGGTTTTCCTGCCTTTCCAGACTGAACCAATGTACTTACATATATTGACTGATGTCTCATGTCTCCCTAAAATGCATAAAACCAAGCTGTGCCCCGAGCACCTTGAGCACTTGTCGTCAGGACTTCCTGAGGCTGTGTCATGAGTGCCTGTCCTCAACCTTGGCAAAATAAACTTTCTAAATTAACTGAGACCTGTCTCAAATTTTCAGAGTTCAAATACCTAAGGTATTTCTATTTTATTTACTTACTTAAGAGATGCATTCTCAGTGTCCTTTAGTTCAATCTAATCCTTATGCCTATCAAAAGACAAAATTACAACAAATTTAGAGACATAATGTTTTTAAAATTATTATTATTATTATTATTATTATTATTATTTTGAGACAGGGCTTTGCTCTTGCTCTGTTGCCCAGGCTAGAGTTCAATGGCGCAATGAGGGCTCACTGCAGCCTCCACCTCCCTGGCTCAAGCAATCTTCCCACCTCAATCTCCCAAGTAGCAGAGACTACAGGTGTGTGCCATCAAGTCTGGCTAAGTTTTAAAATTTTTTGTAGAGAAAAGGTTTCACCATGTTGCCCAGGCTTGTCTCAAACTCCTGGGCTCAAGTGGTCCTCCCACCTCAGCCTTCTAAAGTGCTGGGACTACAGGCATGAGCCACCATGCCTGGCCTAGAAGCTAAGATATTTCTAAACTGAAAGTAATAATAATAATAGGTATTATTATTATTATTCTAAGCCTTTGATTCACTATATATAAAGCAATTCCATAATCCTGACCCAAGCAAATTTGGTTTTCTCTCCCAGGTCCCTGAAGTGAATGAATGATAATCTCTGTTCAGATCCTATCACTTGGTTCCCAGCTTGAACCGGGATGTTGACAAAAATACGGACTAGAGCACAAAAGGGCCTTGCTTGCCTTGCACACCCTTCAGACATAAGTTACAGCTCTGTGGTTTCTTCCATCTAAAACTTGCAACCTCCCTGTCTCAATTGGTTCAGGCCGCTGTGAAAGGAAGATAGTTGGACCCCTTCAGGCTGGGAACCTCTCAGGTCAAATCTACCTCACATGCTATTCAGTCATCCCTCTGCTCACAGAGATAGACGCATATTCTGATTGCCTCTTGGGAAAGACTTATCAGACACTCAAAAGAATGCAACCATCTGTCTCTCTCATCTACTTGTGACCTGGAAGCCCCCAGTACAGTGTGGGTGGGGCGGCCTTGTTTTGAGCTGTCTCCGCCTTTTGGGATGGAGCTAATGTACTTCTTAATATATTAATTGATGTCTCATGTCTCCCTAAAATGTATAAAACCAAGCTGTGCCCCAACCACCTTGGGCGCGTGTTGGCAGGACTTCCTGAGGCTGTGTCACGCACATGTCCTCAACCTTGGCAAAATAAACTTTCTAAATTAACTGAGACCTGTCTCAGATTTTTAGGGTTCACACCACCATAACACTGCAGCAGAGAGACTGGGTGCCATAAACAATAGAAGTTTACTTTCTCATGGTGCTGGAGGCTGGAGTCCGAGATCAAGGTGTGAACAAGGTCATTTCCCCCTGAGGCGTCTCTCCTGAGCCTGTAGATGCAGTCTCCTCCCCGGTCCTCATAGGGCCATCCCTCCTTGTGAGTCTGTGCCCTAATCCCTTCTTATGAGGACAACAGACCTATGGGAGTAGGGCCCACCCCAAGGAACTCATTTACCTTTATTTCCTCTTTAATGGCTCTGTCTCCAAACACAGCCACATTCTGAGGTCCTGGGGGTAGGACTTCAACCTGTGAATTTCAAGGGACATAATTCACTTTATAACAGCCCCCTACCCCAACAAGCAGGTGAGCACCAGCCAGGTTTCCTCCCAGCTCCTGTTTGAACTGGACTTGCTGGCCCTCTGGGGATACTTGGATTCTTGCACTGACTGAGGGTTTGTGTGCATCTGAGGTCATTGTTGACGACAGCCCTCTCTCTAGACATGGGACATCATAAGATGTGGGCTAGCCAGGTGCGGTGGCTCACGCCTGTAATCCCAGCACTTTGGGAGGCCGAGGCAGGCAGATCACCTGAAGTCGGGAGTTTGAGACAAGCCTGACCAACATGGAGAAACCCCATCTCTACTAAAAATACAAAATTAGCCAGGTGTGGTGGCACACGCCTGTAATCCCAGCTACTCGGGAGGCTGAGGCAGGAGAACCTGGGAGGCAGAGGTTGCGGTGAGCCGAGATCGCGCCATTGCTCTCCAGCCTGGGCAACAAGAGCTAAACTCCGTCTAAAAAAAAAAAAAGAGAGAGAAAGAAAAAAAAGATGTGGGCTAACTGCACAGACCTAGAAAGTTGCGGGGCAGGAGCATCAAGGATCAGGACATTACTGGTGTGTTATCAGCATTGCCCTGCTTCTGATCAACAGGGTGGACAGCTTAGGAGCCAAGGGAAAACTTCCCCTTTATCTTCTGAAGTTTTGTTATAAAATCAGCTGACAGAAGGCAGATTGCTAGGAGGAAAGGCTTACACATCTATTAACATGCATGGGGAGAATCACAGGGTGGTTACCCCACCATGCAATGGGGTGCAGAGGCCTTTATTCTCCTCTTAGGGGAAAGGGAGATAAGGAAGTGTGCATTATTTTAGGGGGATAGTAAATATTTTTTAGGGAAATTCAACGGGCTTGAAGAACATACAATGGTCTGGGACAGTCTGTTGGTTTGTGACAAAGACAGCTTCTACCAGGGCCAATTTTATAGCTAAAAAATATATTTACAGCTAGAAAAAAAAGGTCTGTCCAGGCATGTTGACCGACTTCAGTCCTCATTCCTGTGATGAGAGTTCAGCCGTTTGAAACTCAGGGAAGGGATCGGAGGCCATTGTTTTCTGCTGCAGCAGGTCTGCACTTTAGGCAGATAGGGGAATTTCAGAGAACAGCTTCATCCAGTGCTTTGGGAGAGACAGAAGATTGGGAGACAGGAAGGAGGGGAAGGTCAGAGAGACCTGGAGGCTTCTTATTCAGTTCAGCATGTCAAAGCGCTGGGGTATCAGTTTCTGAGCCCCAAAAAGAGCAAACAGCATTCCTGGCAGGATAGAGGAATGCAAGTGTAGTAACCATGCCTTTGATTTTCTATATTTTCAGAGGCTTTGACATCCAGGGCCTCACTGGCCATGGAGGGACAGCTTCTCCCGGGGACAATTTTATAGCTAGAAAAAAAAATTTACAGCTAGAAAAAAAAATTACTGGGATTGTGCATTTCATATACAAACTCACCAACCCAGAGCCCACAGCCCCAACCACTCATCTATGGAGCTGTCACACTCCAGGCCACTATCGTTCTCTCTCTGTTATTTTGGTTGGCACTCCAAATTTTCTATGTGTAAATGGAAAAAGGGTGAGGGGGATCACAAAATGTTGAAATTGAGAGATGTCTTTGAATGGCACAGTCCAGCCCCTGTGTCTTATATAAAAGGAGACTAAAAGGAGTACATCAGGTTAATACCTACACATATTGCCAACCTGCCAAAACTGAAGACTCTTTTAAAAATTTCCCATTTGCATTTTTCTGCTGTCGGAATTGCATTGCATTGGAGGACACCCAGCTGGTGTCCACTGGGGAATCTATAGAATTGCTTTCTTGGTGTGTGGCCCAAAGCATCCCAAGGTTAGGTACCCAGAGCCTGCTGGGCTTATTCAAACCAGCCATTGTGAGCTAGCTTAGTCTGCCTTGCCTGCTCCTTCCAGTGAAAGCCACAGTAAAGGCTCCTGCCCACACTTTCCCCTCCCTCCATCTGCCTCTTAACTGACCCTGGCGCTATCCCTCGTGGCATCGAAGGCTTAGCAATAGCAAACCCCTCCTCTTGGGAACTGTGAGTAATAAACTATCTTTTCAATGGTGTTTGTCTCCTGATCTGTTGGCCTCACTGTACCTGAGTAATTTTTTTTTTAATTTTTTATTTTTATTTTTATTTTTTTTGAGATGGAGTCTAGCTCTCTCTCCCACTCTGGAGGGCAGTGGCACGATCTCAGCTCACTGCAAGCTCCTGGGCTCACACCATTCTCCTGCCTCAGCCTCCCGAGTAGTTGGGACTACAGGCGCCCACCACCATGCCCAGCTAATTTTTTGTATTTTTTAGCAGAGACGGGATTTCATCGTGTTAGCCAGGATGGTCTCGATCTCCTGACCTCGTGATCCACCCACCTCAGCCTCCCAAAGTGCTGGGATTACAGGTGTGAGCCACCGTGCCCGGCCTTTAATTCTATTTTTAAAAAGTGAGAGGAGGCCCAGAAGAAGAGATGGCAGGGAGTCCTGGCTGGGCTGCAGGATTAGGATTGTGGGTGGGGCATCCAGGGACCATGTACATAGTGAGGGCTTACACAATAGAGATGTGACCAGGTGCTGGAATTTCTCAGTGCCCCAATGCAGAAACATGAACTGGTTGGAGGGAGACCAAGTGCCAGGGAGGAAGTTCCTAGGCCAGATGGGGGACTCATCTAGAATGCCTGCCCGTGTGTGAGCAGCACCATGGTGCTGAGCTAGGGAGAGAAGTGTGGCCATTGACTAGAAATGGAGAAGAGTGAGATGACACCACCAGGGTTTCTATGTGGTGTGCGTCCCTTGGAGTGGAGAGCTGGGGTGAGAAGGTGAGTTCAGTTTTGTAGAAGATTCAGCTTGAGGCTGGAGCCTTTGAGGAGTGTTTTTAAATCTCACTGGGGGCCGGACACGGTGGCTCACACCTGTAATCCCAGGACTTTGGGAGGCCAAGGCAGGAGGATCACTTGAGGTCAGGAGTTCGAGACCAGCCCCCTGAGGATGTAGAGTAAGAAATGTTAGGTAGGTGTGTGGATATCAGAACCACATTTTGGGAAACCCTCTCCCCAAAAATTGTATAGCCCATAAGGAGGAATTTAGGGAAGTTGTTACTACAGGTGGGGACAGGGTGGTGTTAGAAGCTAGACAGGAAGAACAGGAGGGAAAAGCATTCAGAAAGCACTTGTGTAATTGGATGCACAGCTCTCCCTTGGACAAGGCAGCGTGGGTTAAGGGTGCTGACCCCTGTCCAGTTGAAAATCCAAGTATAACTTTTTTTTGAGTTGGGGTCTCACTCTGTCGCCCATACTGGAGTGTAATCACAGCTCACTGCAGCCTCGAACTCCTGAGCCCAAGCAGTCTTCCCACATCAGTCTCTCAAATAGCTGGAACCACAGGCCTGAGCCACCATGGCCAGGTAAATTTTGTATTTTTTATTTTTTTGTGCAGATGTGATCTTGCTATGTTGCCCAGGCTGGTCTCAAACTCCTGGCCTCAAGCAATCCTCCCACTTTGGCCTCCCAAAATGTTGGGATTACAGGCGTGAGCCATGGTGCCTGGCCTTCACATATAATTTGACTCCCCCAAAACTTAACTACTAATAGGCTACTGTTGGAAGCCTTACCAATAACATAAGCAGTCGATTGAGGCAAATTTTGAATGTTCTATATATTACATACTGTGTCCTTACAATACGGTAAGCTAGAGGAAAGAAAATGTTATTAAGAAAGTCCTAAGAAAGAGAACATGTAGTTACTATTCATGAAAAGGAAGTGAATCATCATAAAGGTCATCCTCGTGGTCTTCACACTGAGAGGCTGCAGAGGAGGAGGAAGGAGAGGAGGGCTTCATCTCGCTGTCTCAGGGATAGGGGTAGCAAAGGCTGGAGAAAAGCGGTGTATCGGTAACCCTCAAAGGTCAAACTCTGGTTGCTCAAGGGTCAGCTGTACAGTTGAGAACCCATGCAGGTGTAGGCACAGGGTAGATAAACGGTTAAAATAGCAAACCAAACAGGCCACAGCCCTCCTGCTAGAGAAAGTATAGGAGTTTCTTACTTTTCTGGAAGGAAGAATTTTTTGATTACGTGTTAGAATTTATTTGATGGTCCAGCACATTAATGACATCATGTAGGGGGAAAATACCCTCCACCCCATCAATTCTTAGTTGAAACTGACCCCTGTTATAAAAGACACATTAGCAAGAGGCACAAATAGCAGCTTACTAGCAGCTACCTTTCCTAGATACATGCGTGGCCCCCAGAGAATGGGTAGTCCTCAAAGAGGTGGCTTTGAATTCCCGCTTTTATGGTATCTTCAACAAAGAACAGTAAATCTGCAGAGAAGTGACAAGATAAGAGAGATGAACTTTGAGTCTCTAGGAACAGCAACTTGGAGAAAGGCACATAAAGGACACATGAAGTCTAGTTAGTAGCCCTTGCTAATGCAGATCCCCTGGTAGCATCTCCAGTCAATAAAGGTGCAAAGTTGTCTTCAGTGCTAACCTCCCTTCTCCCTGGTGAAGTGGGGTGGGGGCTGGATGCCTTCTGTAAATCCATGTCCTGCTTTTAGCCACCCAGAGGGAGGGCAGTGAGCTCTCCTGTATACTTTCTTCTCCATTGCCCTGAGCCCAACAATCCCTCATCTTGCAGGAGGCATATTCTGCTCTTCCACTGGAACAAAATGCCCCCTAGGGGTGACTTAAGAAGACAGCAGGGTGCAGAATCTGAGGCTACAAAACAAGACTAGAAGACTTGGCTGGGGAGTCCAGTCTAGACTCAGGTTAGCTTTTTTTTTTTTTTTTGGAGGCAGTATCTTGCTTTGTCACCTACGCTGGACTGCAATGGCACGATCACAGCTCACTGCAGCCCCCTACTCCCAAGCTCAAGCGATGGCCCCGCCTCATCCTCCCAAGTAGCTGGGGGACGATAGGCGCAGGCCACCACGCCCGTTAACTTTTTAAATTTTTTTGTAGAGACGAGGTCTCGCTATGTCGTGTCACCCAAGCTGGTTTTGAACTCCTGGCCCCAAGTGATCCTCCAGCCTCCTTTGGAGGACACAGATGGACAGGGACCCGGTGGCCAGCCCATTTTCCCATCCCGGCCTGGGAAAGAAGCGTCAAATGCACTCGGGAAAATAACCCACTTCACCTAGTTAATGTCTTGGGCGGTTCTGGGAAAAGCGTTTCTGCGCAGTCCAGAGACCTGGACCTTCATCTCCAGCCTGCGCCCCACGGAGGCGGCACCGGAGCCGGCTTCCTTAGGTGTGTTGGTGACGTGCTGGGCGGGTCTGGCGGACCAGCCTCGCACCTCCTCGGGCGCAACGCGAGTGGGTTCCGTCTTGGGTTCCTGCGCGAAGGGGCAGCCCAGGCTCAGGGCATGCGGCGCCAGGGTGCTCTGCTTCACGAATGCCGGGGTACCGCAGTGCTGGGGTGCCGGACGCAAGGGTGTCAGATGGGGTGCTGCTGGGATTATAAGGGTCACCAGTTGCAGGGATGCTGGGGGTGCTGGGGTTACAGGGGTGTGGGGGCAGAGGATATGAATGCAGGGGTGCAGTGGTACCCGAGTGCAGAAGTGCAGGGGTGCCGGGAGCAGAGTTGTCAAATGGTGTGGTGCTGAGTTCACAGGGGTGCCAGGGATAGAGGGAAGCCCCGGCACCAGAGTGCAGGAGTGTTGGGATGCTGGGGCTGCAGGGGTGCCGGGGAAGATGGGTACGCAGTGCAGGGGTGCCGCGGTGCTGTGACGCCCCAATACTGAGGGGTGCAGTATCCAGTTGGTTCTAAATTCATTCTCACCCGCCTCACACCACAAACCAATTGGCTGATGCGCCTTCTCGAGCTTTCCAAAGCCACCCTTCATTCCGCTGCCTCTCTGCGACCCTCGGTTTTATTTCTGAGTTTGGAATTTGTTGTATTTCATGCACGTTTGCGCCTTAATGTTTTCTCCCCAATCTTTGCATGTCACCAAGATTTCTCGACCCCCGTGTGGCACAGGGATGAGGCTGCTTCGGGGTTTACAGGGTGGAGGAGGCCGGCTTGCGTGTTCCTCAGGGTAAATCGGGGATCAGTCCAGCTCCCCTCCCCACCCATCCCCCGGAGCCCCTCCCCCAACTCCTGCTCCCCTCCCCGCCACCCTCCCCCACCCCCCTTCCTCCCCGCATACTTCTTGTCTCCCATCTGAGAGCCCCTCCCCTCCCAACCCGCCCCACCCCGGTATCCCCCACTTGCCCACCTCCTCCTGCACTCCCCCTGCACCCCTCCTAGCCCACCGTAGGGCACCCCTCCCCGCACACTCCCCGGCTCTCCCTTCCCTGGTGGAAACCACCTCTCCTGGTTAAATAATAAATATTTATTATTTATTATTTATTACATAAAATTCCCTTATGTCTTGTGATAGGTACGTTGCCGGTTTCCATATCTTCTCCAAATGCTGCTTGAAGCCACCAGCTTCGCAGTCAGCAGCCCGTAAGATATTTAATTGCAGTACGTAAGAAGAGAAATCTGTGGTATAATATTAGCTTGGGGAAGGGAGATCACTGGCCTTGAAGAGCTTTTCGCCAAAAGCTACTGTAGGGCAGGAGCTGCTTCGCTGGGTGGACAGGGCCACCAAAGGCCGCCGTTCAGGTTACCCCAAACCTGCTGCTCAGGGAGCACGCCTCGGGTTCCCAGGCTGGTGCCCTCGCCCGGGCCTGCCTCTGTTTCACTGATTGGCTTTCATGCTCCTGCTTTGCTTCTGCATCCACACCACCTGTCGCTGGCATTTGCAGCTCTTTTCTAAGTGCTGAAATGCAATGGAAATGAGCACAAAAGCTGCTCCTGCGGACGTGGGCGCTGGGAATCAGCCGGTGTGCCTCCTCGACTTGGTCAGAGGGCCTGCCCTCTTGGGCATCAGGTCCCCGGGGGCACCGGCCTTTGTCCCCCGTGCTCCGAGCGCTGGGCTGGGGAGCTCCCAGGTGCTGGCCCGGCGCAACCCGGTGCCTTTAAGCAGGGTGGGGGCGCGCCGGGAGGAGGTTGCTCTCAGGCGCCCCAGGAGTCGCCCCTGATGGAAACGCGCCTTGGCTGTGGCAGGAGGGCCTTTGTCCATAGGATGTCAACTGGAAGCCCTGAGAAGCGCAAGGCTGCCCAAACCCTTTTTTCCTTCTTTGCAATCCTGCAAGCATTACGGGAGGCCCCAATGTTCCCTGCAGAACTCCATAGCACACCCTGTCATTTCAGCCACTCCCAGTTCCTCCGCTTTAAATCGTACAAGGTTCCCTCTAGTCCTTGAGAAGCCTGGAAGCCTGTCCTCTCTGTATCTGTAGGGTGCTGTCCCTCACACAGATCCCACTCTACCGGTGGGGTCTGGATGGAGCATGTGCATTTGCCATTGCAACGTGCAATTTTATTAAATGCTTAAAAAAATAGAGACAGGGGTCTCGCTATGTTTGCTAGGCTGGTCTTAAACTCCTGGACTCAAGGGATCCTCCTGCTTGGGTCTCTCAAAGTGCTAGGATTACAGGCCTGAGCCACCGTGCTGCACCTGTATTAAATGCTTGTTTGTAAGACTTAAAGGGACCTGGCTTCTTGGCTGGTGGGGAAAGCGCTCACTGCAGGAAGCCCTCATCCTAGTAGAGAAGCATACATCATCTAGAGCTGCACAAAAATCTAAGGTGTAAAGATGGACTGATTTCATGCATTCAGTTATTCATTCAACACATTTGTGGACTGGCTTCCAGCCCAAGTACTGTACTCTAGAACGATTAAAGAAGTGCGGGGGGCAGGGGGGAGGTGTTTATTATTTTTCTTAATCATCTAAACCTGGTCACTAAGCTAGAGGCCACTGTTTCTTTTTCTTTTTTCTTTCTCTTTCCCTGTCCTTCCCTCCCTCCGTCTCCCCAACTGTCCCTCTTCTTTCTTTACTTCCTTCTTTCTTTCTTTTCCTTCCTTCCCTCTCTTCTTTTTTCCTTCTTTTCTTCACATGAGGAAAGCTTCAAGTTTACTCCATAGTGTCCGTCTGCCAATACATCATGTTGGTCTTGATCCGAGACACTGTCTCAATTGGCTCAGGCTGTTCTAACAAAATGCTACAGAAGGGGAGACTTAAACAACAGAAATTTATCAAAGTCTTTGGGGGAAAAGAGACCTGTGTGGGAAACATAGAAAAACCCTGTCTCTACAAAAAAAAAAAAAATTAGCCAGGCATGGTGGCACGTACCTATAGTCCCAGCTACTTGGGAGGCTGAGATAGGAGGATTGCTTGAACCCAGGAGTTTGAGGCTGCAGTGAGCTATGAATCACACCACTGCACTCTGGCCTGGGCAACAGAGCAAGACCCTGTCTCAAAAAAAAAACACACACACACACACACACACACACAAAAGACATTTAATACAAACTGCACATTACAGTTACATAACACATACATTTTGTGTCGTTATTTTCCCCCAAAGAGTGCTGATTATCCAAGGCTAGTAGTCTGAGATCAGGGTGTCAGCAGGGTTGGGTTTTGTGAGGTCATTCTTACTGGTTTGCACCTAGCCATCTTCTCCCTGTGTCCTCACATGGTGCTAGAAAGCGATATCCTAAAATGAAGACCTCTGAAGCAAAAAACTTTCTCTGATCTCCTGCCTTCCTGTCTCAGTCCCATTCTCCCCCAGACTGGCCATAGAAACTAGAATACCTCTTCCCCAAGGCAGGTCATAAAAACCGCAACCCCTTTTCCCCACAGCCAGACACAAATCCTAAAAATATTACTCTAACTCCTGCCTTTCTGTGCAAATGCTGACCATAAATTCTCTGGGCCACCTTGTCTGGTTGTACGTCATAAGACTCCCATTCCACAGAGGGTCCTGTCTCATACCCAAGAGGAAGGAATGCCACGCAGAGAGGCCAAGAAGAATCTAGACAGACAGGGCTTGCTGGATGTCCCCACTCAGTGTATTAGCAGTAGATCATGCCCAATCCTATTTCTACATAGCAGTCCATATTTTGTTGAACCTAAGCATTAAAATAGACAGCTTCTTCTGTATTCATTCTGAAGGCTTTTTTGTCACACTAAACTATGATCAAATAAATGTGTATGCCTTTTCTCTTTTAATCTGTCTTTTGTCAGCTGATTTTTAGTGAATCTTCAGAGGGCAATAGGAAAGTTTTTCCTTGGGCCCTGCAGCAGAGAGAAAGAGAAAAGCAAGCTGTCTTGTGTCTCTTCTTATAAGGGCATGAATCCTACCATGCCACTCCACCCTCATGACATAATCATCCCCCAAAGGCCCCACCTTCTAACACCATCACCCTGGGGATGGGGGTTTTCAACCTAGAAATTTGGAGGGAACGCAGACATTGAGTCCCTAGCAATCACCACCCATGAGAACCAGGACTGATTTCCTGACACCACCAAGCAGCCACCATATGGTGGGCAGAGCAAATCCTAAATCTTAGTACCTGAAAGACATATTCTTACCCAAAGTCCTTAGAATGCCCACCTCCTGTCCCACTCCAAGTTTTGTTTCAAACCTTTCCACACCAGTAGGAAGCCAGGAAGCCTTAGTAAGAACCTGGTGGGAAGACCAGCATCTCACTGGGCTGGCAGGACCAAGGCAAGCAGTGCTATATATGTACATATATTAACGTTTGTTAAACCATGGTGAGGAAGGCTTCATTCAGGACGGTGGAGTAGGATTAGGACCATTGCAGTGGGATTCTGCAGCAGGGTAGAGAGATTGGGCTCAATTCTGAGTACCGCACTGACAAGTGGAAATTTATAGACAGGAGTAGGGTAGATTAGTGGATAGAACAGTATTAAGAGGAGACATCAGGGCCAAGTACGGTGGCTCATGCCTGTAATCCTAACACTTTGGGAGGCTGAGGAGGGTGGATCACTTGAGGTCAGCAGTTTGAGACCAGCCTGGCCAATATGGCAAAACCCTGTCTCCACTAAAAATACAAAACTTAGCCTAGCATGGTCAGGCATGCCTGTAATCCCAGCTACTCAGGAGGCTGAGGCAGGAAAATCATTTGAACCCGGGAGGTGGACGTTGCAGTGAACTGAGATTGTGCTACTGGGCAACAGAGCAAGATTCCATCTCAAAAAGAAGAAGAAGAAGAAGAAGAAGAAGAAGAAGAAGAAGAAGAAGAAGAAGAAGAAGAAGAAGAAGAAGAAGAAGAAGAAGAAGAAGACATCAGGTGTGAGGGGGATTCTGGGTAAACGAACCTCACATGGCTCTTGCTGGAGGCAGGCAGGGTGATCAGATATCACCTGGGGATGGAGGATGAGGAACCCCATCAGATAGCACAGAGGGCGATCAGATATTCAGAATCAGGGGTTCTAGTTAAACTGACTTAGCGGGGCTCTTCCTAAAACTGGATTTCACAAGAAAGTGCACAGATGGACCCAGGAGGAGGTTCTGGAGCCTGACCAGAGTTTGGCCAAGCAGAGAATCTTTGTCAAAGGGCTGTTTGAGAACTAAATTGAATCAAGTATTTATTAAGTGGTTACCTAGCCAGCTCTTAGTGAGCACTCTAGAAATGCTTGGTAAATCAACCACATATTTCAAAAGGAAGCAGATAAAGTGCTTAATGCTGGGTATGCCCAAAGCCATTCAGGGAACCCACAGTCTCAAGATGCCCAGAAGACCTCAGAGGACAGACTTGAATGTAGAGGGTACTGCCTCAGCTCACAGGCTTATTCACAAGCAGATACTGACTGGGCCCCTGCTGGTGCCACACTCTGTGCTCTGGAGCCTCAGACATGAAAGCCACATCCTTCCCTGTGAGTTAAGCTTAGTCAGCATGCTAGTGGGAGAGAAAGGTTTGTGCTACATATTTACGTGATGGATCTGCCCGGGGCATAGAGCAGGCTCTGCTGAGGTAGCCCAAGCTGCTTATGGCTGGATCAGTCCTAAGAAGGAAAGGCGCTAACAGGAATTAAGCACAAAATAGATGCTGGGCACCCTGCCCGCTGCTTCACACTCATTAATGCTCAGCAACGCTATCAGGCGGGCACTGGCAGCCTTATTTCACAGATGAGTATATGGAGGTGTGGAGAGGTAAATTATCTGCCCCAGCTAGGGCAGATAAATGACCTCCGGACTAGGGCTTCTCAAATCGTCAAGTGCACACAAGTCTATTTAAAATGCAAATTCTAACTCAATCAGATAGGAGTGGGCCTGAGATTCTGCTTTTTTAACCAGCTCTTCAGTTGAAGCTGAAATACACAACACCTTACGTTTCTTCATTGGGAATTAATAGAATGGCGGGGAGAGGGGCGCAGCTCGGAGACAGTGCCTTCTATAAGCCTGCGCTCTGACGGAGTTAGAGCAATCACAGTACCCACCTCTCGGGGATACCGGGAAACAAATGAGATCGCCCATAGCAATCCCTTTGCATTACGGCTGTCACTTCGAAGGGGTTTGGGGAGACCTTAAAAACAATAGGAAAGACTAAGTTTCATTTGAAACCCATTCAATTTCTCCAGTTAAAACTCTGCCTCATGACAATTCCAATTGAAGTACCTTAGCATGTTTTCTGTACTATTTTCTGTATTTCCTAACGAACCGTTTGGATTTACAATTGAATTCTGAGAAGAATGCATCTCTTTGATCTTTGGAGGAATGGAGGGAAGGGCAAGAAACGAAGGGTTAAGGTCGTTGCAAACTGCCATTCCCACCGCCACCTCCCCTTCTAAATAAGCACTAACTACCCCTCCCTAGCTGTGGGCCTCAGAAAAAAAAAATGCCCCCATGTATGTGCCTCACAGCCAGAGAAGACCTCAATTTGGGGTTGCAACCGTTTTTCAGTTTCTCTTTAGCTACCTCCAGATCCGCTGCAGACACAAAAATCTCCAGGTTTAAAACAAAGGCTTTGAACAAAGATGCGCAACCTCAGCTCCGGCGCGCGGCGGATATGCCTTGGGATTGGTTGGACCGCCGTCCAATAGGAAAGAAGAACCGGACTCTGCTATTTACAGAAATTCCTCCCAGTGGCGGCCGCGGAGTCAGGCCGTCCAATCAGACACTACAAATTTGGAGCCTTAATTTGAATATAAAGATGGCAAATAGCCCTGCCGGCCCCGCATCCGCGTTCGTCTAGGCGCTCTTGTCACCTCGCCATGCCGGAGCCATCGCGGGCGGCTCCGGCTTCTAAAAAGGGCTCCAAGAAGGCCATTACCAAGGCGCAGAAGAAGGACGGCAAGAAGCGCAAGCGCGGCCGCAAGGAGAGCTATTCTATCTACGTGTACAAGGTGCTGAAGCAGGTGCACCCCGACACCGGCATCTCGTCCAAGGCCATGGGCATCATGAACTCCTTCGTCAATGACATCTTCGAGCGCATCGCCAGCGAGGCCTCCCGCCTGGCGCACTACAAACAAGCGCTCCACCATCACGTCCCGCGAAGTGCAGACGGCCGTGCGCCTGCTGCTGCCCGGCGAGCTGGCCAAGCACGCCGTGTCCGAGGGCACTAAGGCTGTCACCAAGTACACCAGCTCCAAGTGAGGTGCGTCCCGGCGCCCCGAACCCAAAGGCTCTTTTCAGAGCCACCTCCAAGCTCCAAAAGGAGCGTGCCACCTGGTCTGGTTGTGACCTGTGATTCAATTGGAGTAATGAGGGAAAGTAGACTGAGCCGTGGGGGCGCAAGTCTTAGAGACAAAATTAGGCTTCTTGTTTGTAACGGCATATTTCCCTTAGAAAGGCTGCGTTCGTCTTGTGTTGGCCACAGGCAAAGTCAGAGAGGGGGCAGTACAGGCGATTGCGCCATGGATCCCATCCAAAGATCTGTGTGTGGCTTACGCCCTGCGCGCGAGGAGCGTGGGTCACCTCCGGGAAGATCTTGTGCCACGTCCCCGCCCCCAGTGCCTCCTGGCGGCTGAGACTGGAGGACGTGCTCACTGAGGTCCGGGGTTGGAGGTGAGGGGGTTATCGCGCCGTCTGGGCGGAGGCGCTTGGGTCCGTTCTTCTCCCGCCCCTTTCCTCCCTCCTTAGCCACAACTAGACACTGTGAGCTTCTAGCCAAAACCATTTCAGCAGCGTTGCGCCTAAGCAGCTCTTTATGCCACGCCTTCCTGCTTGAAACATCAAAACAGCAGGCTCACAGATCTCCTTATCACTCAGCTAAAATTTCCCCAATTAAGGGATTCTCGTATTTTACCCCCAAAATGTGTGTGTGTGTGTGTGTACGCATATTACACAGTGAAAGATTATTTTGAATAATGCAAATATAGTGCTTTTTAAAAAAAACTCCAGCAAATCATAGGAAAAATAAGTATGATCTCTGGATGACACATTAAAAACTAAGGCATGCAGGCCTGACTGGGGCCCAGGCTGTCCTCCCCCTAAAAATACCCCATACCGGTGACACCCCAACCACGAATACCTGAGAGCTACCCACCCTCTAAGCAAAAACGTTGCCTGGAATTAGAATTCGGTTTCCAGGCTCAGTTCCCACTGGTAGAAGATGCACTCTACCCAGGCTCAGTTCCCACTGCACACTCCCAACACAATGACAGCCACGCATTTATCAACATTTAACCTCTCTGGCCTCATAAAGTAAATCCATTTTCTTGGGTTAGTTTCTTCTTAAAGGGAGTTTTCTTTCCTCCAAATTCTTTTTGTAAATAGGCTTTATTTTTTAGAGCACTTTTTCAGAGCAATATGCTTTTTTATTAGTAGTACGTAATAGTTGTACATATTTGGGGGGTACAAATATTTTGATATACGCATAGGCTTAACAATCAAACCAGGGCAACTGGGACATCCGTCATCATATTCACACCCTCTTTAGGTCGAGATCATTCCAATTCCTCTCCTCCAGCAATACAACTAATTATTGTTAACTACAGTCACCCTACTTTTCTAACCAATACTAGATGTTACCATTTCTTCTAAGCATATTTTTGTACCCATTAATCAACTTCATCTCCTCCTTTCCCCACCACTCTTCCCAGCTTCTGGTAACCAGCAATCAACTTTCTACCTCCATGAGATGCATGTTCTTAGCTCCCACGTATGAGTGAGATCATGCAGTATTTGTCTTTCTGTGCCTGATTTGTTTTACTTAACATAATGTCCTCCAGTTCCATCCATGTTGCTGATGACGGGATTTCATTTTTTTTAATGGCCAAATAGTATTCGAATGTGTAAATGTACCACATATTCTTTATCCATATATCTACTGATGGGCACTAAGGTTGACTTTCTATCTTGGCTATTATAAATAGTGCTGCAATGAACATGAGACCGCAGACATCTCTTTGATATACTGATTTCCTTTCTTTTGGATATATACCCAGCAATGGGGTTGCTGGATCATATGGTAAGTCTGTTTTTAGTTTTTTAAAGAATGCCCATATTTGTCTCTATAGTGGCTGTACTGATTTACATTCTTACCAGCAGTGTACAAGCATCCCCTTTCCCTGCGTTCTCACCAACATTTGTTATTTTTTGTTTTTTAATCAAAGTTGGTTTAATTGGAGATGATTCCTTCCAAATTATTTTATTTACTGCATAATAATTAGCAAATCTGACTTGAAATTTCCATCTGAGATGGGTGAGGGGCAATCTCTTAAATACATGTCAGATTGTATGCCAGTCTGGAGGGATTTTGTAGGCATACAATCTGACATGTATTTAAGTGATTGTCACTCACCCATCTCAGATAGGTGAGATGAAGCTTAGTTTAAAAATTTGGCTTAGTTTAAGAATCTTGGCATGTCTCTCCAACCCAGAAAATGCTTCCATTTTGTTGAGTGAGTCCTAATTCCCTTAGTCTCTGTGGATTCTCACATATTTGATGTGCACTGCCTTCATTTATCATTAACATTTGTCTTTCTCTGTTGTAACACTATAATTAGAGAAATGGGTTCTGGACACGATTGCTCTGAATTTTCTCCATTATAAAATCTTAGTAGCAAGGATCCTGTTTTACCTTCTTTGCCTCTCCCTTAACAGATCCCTGTCCTAGGAGAGACGGACAAATCCCATTCATTCTGGGCCTGGGGGTGCTAATGTAGCAGGAAAAGACAGCCTGTTTCTACTTCAAGTTTGTGCCAGGGGAATCAGAAGGACTGAGACATGAATTGACTGACGTTTGACATTATCCATCACAAAATGCCTTCTTAGAGAATTACACTTGGAAAATGTCATGAAATGTTCATCTTGTGCCTTGATTTGATCTCTGGCACTAACCAGTGTTGTTGCCTTGTGCTAACACAATCATTCACTCTCTCTACTGGAGACTGGTTTCACTTTATTAAACCTATGTTTTAAGTTCATTAAGGTGGAGAACTATATGGGTCTGTGAGAGTAGTTTCACAGCTGCAAATGTTTAAGGTATTGACTTCCAATCCATGCTGGTAGGAGGCCGAGGGCTTGGATGTTCCAGTCATTGGGCACCTGTTTCATAGTGGAGAGGACTGGATTCAACAGCTTTTCATACAAATCCTATATTTCTTGACAGTACTAAGGGTGTTGACAAGTCCCACTTACTTTTGATGATGGATCACTGTTTAATATTTGGATTATAACTAGGGATGCAAAGAATTGAATAAAGTGCCTATGACAAAATTGTCATTCCTGTGTATTTTTTGTAAATTTTTTTTGGAGCATATATCAAAACAAAACAGAATGGAAATGACCCCGTGCACTGCTAGCATTGTAACCATATGGAAATGATCCCATGCTGTGCTAACACTGTAACAATATGAACACTGCATGTGTGCAGTCATTGAGGTGGAAAGGAGAGGAGAGAAGAGAGTGGGTGCACCATCCAGCTCATTAAGAGTCAGTTTCACTAAAAGTTTATCTGTTTGATAACATCAAATTATTTATGTTTTGAACAATTGTGTACTGTCGAGATGATTTTTCTTAACAGTGAGAGACTACCCAGAGGTATGCTTAAATTTCAATGTAGACTTTTTTGCAGAGAACAATAGACAAAACACTATTAAACATACAATAGATATATTATGGTAGGGTGAAATTGTAAGGCAAATGGAGAATGGAAATAGGCATTCAGGAGGAAAAAAATCATCTGAAACATCGCATTGACAAAGAAAAATTTGGTCATGTATTTTATGAATTGATTATACTATCATATTGATATTCCAAAAGGCACCTTGAGACTGATGTGAGAATTTTGATTTTTAAAAAGTTCCACGTTGGTATTTGTATCTTTGCAACTATTTTAATTGAAAATAAAAATATTTTAGATAGCTTTAAAACATGCGAGGTTCTCAAAGATTCTTGTAGAGGAATCACGCAGGAAAAAAAAGGTGGGGAATAGGGGACAAAGCCGTTTTGGTCGAGGATGTTCACGGTGACCTTTCTTTCCCCATCCCAGGCACGCGACGGGTTCCCTTTGGAGAAATGACTTGGGGGAAAAATATTTTTCATTGAATTTTATTTAAAAATTATTTCTCGGCCAGGAGAAGTGGCTCACGCCTGTAATCCCAGCACTTTGGGAGGCCGAGGAGGGTGGATCACGAGGTCAAGAGATCGAGACCATCCTGGCCAACATGGTGAAACCCCGTCTCTACTAAAAATTAAAAAAATTAGCTGGGCGTGGGTGGCGCACGCCTGTAGTCCCAGCTACTCGGGAGGCTGAGGCAGGAGAATCGCTTGAACCCGGGAGGCCGATGTTGCAGTGAGCAGAGATCGCGCCATTGCACTCCAGCCTGGGCGACAGAGCAAGACTCCGTCTCAAAAAAAAAAAAAATTATTTCTCATTTAACTTTATTGAATTTTTATTCCCTGCTGGAAATGGTGACACAAACGCTCAGTACTTCGAATTTTCACAACGGTTTGAGGAAGCAATTACTGGAAATCTTCTTTTTCTAAAGAAGAAAAGCCAAGTCATGAAAACGTAAACGATGCCCTTTCCAAAGTGAAAACTCTTCGTGCCAAAGAGCTTTCCTGCGCCAAAATGGCACTCCCCAAATAAATGCCGTGAATTTGGAGGGGGTAGGAAAGGAATTCTGCGTTGCTAACGCCTCGCAGAAAATAATGTGGCTAAAGAGGGAGGCAGCTACATTTGCTCAGAAAAAGGGAATTCTTTTCCTCCTAAATTAACCCCTTCCCCCACCCCCACTCCCATAAGGGTTAAAGTTACCGGCAGCTGGGGTCGCTTATTACATCCGGCTCCCCCGCGCAGGACGCTGCTTTGACGCCGTGCTTCGATTCGGTATCAAACATCCTGCCATCGCGGTATCCTGCCAGGAAAATATCCTCCCGGAATGTTCATTGCTTAAATCTAAACATGTCTGTCTGGTCCAGGCAGGGATGGAAAAGTCTTAAGCAAATGCAGAGCCAGGCACCACCGCCAGGGGAAAGTGACAACACCCATGGCCTCAGAGCCCGTGGTCTTGCGCCACGTCTGGCCTCGCCCATGGGGGGCGGGTAGGGTTGGGGAGGTTGGCACAGGGTCTTTTGGGGGGAGGTGACCCGCACTCCTCACCTGCACGGCGCACGCCAACCTCATTTGGACCCGGTCCTGAACCGGGCGCAAGCGCTCAACATCCAGGAATGCACCACTTGCTTATAAAAGACATTTGGGGCCAGGTGCGGTGGTTCACGCCTGTAATCCCAGCACTTTGGGAGGCAGAGGCGGATGGATCACCAGGTCAGAAGATCGAGACTATCCTGGCCAACATGGTGAAACCCCGTCTCTACTAAAAATACAAAAAATTAGCCAGGCGTGGTGGGGCGTGCCTGTAATCCCAGCTACTCGTAAGGCTGAGGCAGGAGAATCGCTTGAACCCAGGAGGCGGAGGTTGCAGTGAGCCCAGATTGCGCCACTGCACGCCAGCCTAGAGACAGAGCGAGACTTCTTCTAGAAAAAAAAAAAAAAAAAAAGAAAGAAAGAAAAAAAAAAGAAATCTCGTCGTGAGTTAATAGCTCTGCGCGGAGGGAGGGGATGGAGAGGGGGTCCTTGATCGCCTCCCAACATTACTGAGCTACATCACCTGAGCAGTTTCTACCCCGATTTCTGTAACGAGCAGTTTTTCTCGTTCTGTGCCGGCGCGCGCGCGCACACACACACACACACACACACACACACGGCTCAGATTCGGCCGCACCCGGCAACCGCTAGGGTGCATGGAGACACATTAGGTTACATAACCCTTCACCGTGTTCGAAACCCTTTCTTGATCGTGTGGGTGGCTCTGAAAAGAGCCTTTGGGTTCAGGACGCCGAGGAACGCCTCACTTGGAGCTGGTGTACTTGGTGACAGCCTTGGTGCCCTCGGACACGGCGTGCTTGGCCAGCTCGCCGGGCAGCAGCAGGCGAACGGCCGTCTGCACTTCGCGGGACGTGATGGTGGAGCGCTTGTTGTAGTGTGCCAGGCGGGAGGCCTCGCTGGCGATGCGCTCGAAGATGTCATTGACGAAGGAGTTCATGATGCCCATGGCCTTGGACGAGATGCCGGTGTCGGGGTGCACCTGCTTCAGCACCTTGTACACGTAGATAGAATAGCTCTCCTTGCGGCCGCGCTTGCGCTTCTTGCCGTCCTTCTTCTGTGCCTTGGTGACAGCCTTTTTAGAACCCTTCTTGGGCGCAGGAGCCGATTTGGACGGGTCTGGCATGATGGCTGAGTCTCTCCAAACAGAAACGCGCGGCGCTCGGAGTAACTCTATTTGTACGTTTTGTATTCAAATGAAGGCTCAGGATTTGCTCACTTCTGATTGGATCAAACGTTGTTCTACGTCATCGCTGGGAAAGGAATACGCAAATTAGGAGTGCCAGGTTCTTTTTCTGATTGGCTACCATAGCCATCCAATCGAACGCCGCGGTCTAGCCTACCTCTGTACCATACATAAGGGCTCGCTGGCCTTCACTGCCCTCTTGTTTTTAGTCTCGCTTTTCGGTTGCCGTTGTCTTTTTTCCTTGACTCGGAAATGTCCGGTCGTGGTAAGCAGGGTGGCAAGGCGCGCGCCAAGGCTAAGTCGCGCTCGTCGCGCGCGGGGCTGCAGTTCCCCGTGGGCCGCGTGCACCGGTTGCTCCGCAAGGGCAACTATTCGGAGCGCGTGGGCGCCGGCGCCCCGGTCTATCTGGCCGCGGTGCTCGAGTACTTGACTGCCGAGATCCTGGAGCTTGCCGGCAACGCGGCGCGCGACAACAAGAAGACGCGCATCATCCCGCGCCACCTGCAGCTGGCCATCCGCAACGACGAGGAGCTCAACAAGCTGCTGGGCCGCGTGACCATCGCGCAGGGTGGCGTCCTGCCCAACATCCAGGCCGTACTGCTGCCCAAGAAGACGGAGAGCCACCACAAGGCCAAGGGCAAGTGAGGCCGCCCGCCGCCCCCGGGGCCCCTTTGATGGACATAAAGGCTCTTTTCAGAGCCACCTACTATCTCGAGAAAAGAGCCGCACTGATCCTGCAGTTCTTTATAGGCCGGAGGCCTGATCACCCTAGGCTCATGAATGAGCGCAGTGGCCATGGGGAAGGGCGCAACGGGAACCGAGACCCTGGGGACTGATTGGGCTGCATACTTGCGAGGTGGGCAACGTGTTCTGTTAACAACAGGGAACCCTCGTCCACAGGTGGCCACCCCTTGCTCTTGAGTCCCACCCAAAACCTCTAGTAGGGTTTTAATAACGCTCACCGTAAAGGTGTCTTCATAATTACTAGTGACAAGTTCTCTTGACTCTAGCAAGGTTCCCGTGTGGTCATCAAGTACAGAATGCAATTTCTTAATGATTTATCTGATATTAAAAGTATTTATGATCTCTAAGTAGTTTGCACTTTAATTCTGAAGAGTAAGTCTATGGATTTCTATTTAAATTGCTAAGTTTTAACAATGTGAGCTCCACCAGTGTTAAGATTTAATTTATTTGGCTGGGAATTCTAAAGGTCATGAGGAAAGTTTCAGTACTTAAAAGGAACCAGATTAGTAGATGCTGAAAGGTATAAACCTTTTAAGAAGACTTAATTTGGAATAGGATAATTATTTAAAGGAATTTAGTTTGTTTAATTCGGGTTGGTCAAACATTAATCAAAGATCCCCTTAAATTGATTGCTAAAATTGGAGAACAAAATAATTTGTACACTGTTTTTGAAAAGGAAAACTAAATTTGCGAGTTAAGCAAATTTAAAATGAGTATTGTTAGAACCAGATGAATGATGATACATGTGGACTTTAGGAAAATAACGGTTTGTAACTACATTTTTCCTTATAAAATGGAGGGTTTAAGAGCGTCGGAGACCTCCAGGCAAATTAACTGAAATGGCTGTGTTAATAGCCCCTAAATCCTGGAGGAGAGAGGTTCATTGATTTAATCCACGATAATCCCTTAAAAAATGTTTGCCACAAAATCAGAGCTCAGAAAGTGTTATTCTTCTGTTGTTATCTGTACAGTTTTCATTAATCTATTTCTCAAAATATGGATAATTCCTACTTTGTTTTTATTTTTTCTTTAATCCCCAAAGTGCTAGTATTTAGTTAATTGACACCTAACAATTGCATATTATATGGGGTACATAGTGATACTTTGAATACATTTATTATCAGATCAGGGTAATTAGCAATTATTAAGTATTTATTGTAATAATAAATACAGGCCAGTAAAATTATTCAGGAATATTATATAATTTATATTTACCCTACTAAAATTGGGTCTACTCAAGTCAGGGCTTCCTGGACACCAGCTAACCACAAATCTGCATGTCTTTAGAAAATATCCCAGTGCTATGAAACTATTTGAACCAAAAATTGGTAAGCAGCTGCTCCAACAGTGTGGATCTAAACAGCACAATATTCACAGTGTGTATCACGAGTGGGCACCATTTCAGTAAAACAAAACTGCAAGGACTGGCCAGGAGAGGGTGTAGCCTTCCAGAGATCTTTTCATTATTTTTCTTGTGAAAGCCTTCATTTTCAGTTGAAATTTATCTTTATGTATTTATATCTATGTAGGTCACTCTATCTCTTCAAATACCCTTTAGTGGTATTTAAGGTTTTTGCAGGGTCTGGGGACTTAGGTGTTTCAACTATCACCATGGATTTCCAGATTTTGTAAAAGGTGCTCAAATGGGGTGAAGGGGGAGGCAGCGTGGTGGGAGGGCTACTTTGGGGTAGCACTGCATTTGTTATCTCTGAGGCTATGGTGTTTCACAGACAGTAACGAGCCACACAAGCTATTTAATTTTCAGATAATTAAAATTTAATACAAAGATGTAGTTCCTCAGTCACCCTAACCACATGTAGCCAGTGGATGCCATGTTAGCACAGATACAGAATGTTTCCAGCATCACAGAAAGTTGCACTGGACAGCTCTGGTCTAAGATCTGGTTCTTTATCGGGTTATCTGATTCAGAAATGTAGTAAATTATCCAGTGCTGCCTGCTTTGGTAAGAGAAAACTCATTAGACTCTTTTCTTATTTTTTATTTTTTTAAGACAAAGCCATGCCCTGTGTCCCAGGCTGGAGTGCAGTGGCGTGATCTCGGCTCACTGGAACTTCTGCCTACCGGGTTCAAGTGATTCTTCTGCCTCAGCCTCCCAAGTAGCTGGGATTACAGGTGCCTGCCACCATGCCGAGCTATTTTTTTTTTTTGAGATGGAATTTAGCATTGTAGCCCAGGCTGGAGCGCAGTGGCGTGATCTCGGTGCAGTGGCGCCATCTCAGCTCACTGCAACCTCTGCCTCCAGGGTTCAAGCAATTCTCCTGTCTCAGCCTCCCGAGTAGCTGGGACTACAGGCGACTGCCACTATGCCCGGCTAATTTTTGTATTTTTAGTAGAGACAGGGTTTCACCACCTTGTTGGTCAGACTGGTCAACAACTCCTGACCTCAGGTGACCGACCCACCTTGGCCTTCCAAAGTGCTGGGATTACAGGTGTGAGCCACCGCGCCCGGCCACCCAGCTAATTTTTGTATTTTTAGTAGAGACGGGGTTTCCCCACATTGGCCAGGCTGGTCTCGAACTCCTGACCTCAAGTGATCTGCCCGCCTTGGCCTCCCAAAGTGCTGAGATTACAGGCATGAGCCTGTAATGAAGCACCCAGCTTCATTAGACTCTCGCATAAAGAAGATATCACCGTATGGCCGTGCAATTCCAGTCCTAGGTATACATACCCAAGAGAAATGAAAATACACATTTATTCACAAACATGTACACAAATGCTCATGGCAGCATTCTTCATGAAATACAGAAGGTAGAAACAACCCAAATGTCCATCAACTGAGGAATGGGTAGGCAGATTGGGATCTATCCAATTACAATGAAATATTATTCAGTCATTCAAAAGGAATGAAGCACTGACATGCTACTACAGGGTGAACCTTGACAGCATGCTCAGTGAGATAAGCCAGATACAAAGGCCACAGATTGTCTGAGTCCACTGATACGAAATGTCCAAAACAGGCAAATCCACAGGGACTGAAGGCAGACTGGTGGCTGCCAGGGGCTGGAGGAGAGGAGTGCCTGCCTAGTGGGGACAGGTCTTCCTTTAGGGGTGATGAGGATGGTCTGGAACTAGACAAAGGTGGTAACTGCACAACATTGTGAATGTACTAAATGCACCTGAATTGTGTACTTTAAAATGGTACATTGTGTGTCATGTGATTTTCACCGCTCGATTTTTTTAAAAATCTGAACCTAATACACGAATGTGTAGCAAATCATCACCGTAACCAGGAGAACAAGAAGGAAAGGCAAGAAAGCCTGGGGTCCCAGAAGGGCTATGAGGAGGGTAGACCAGATGCCCAAGAGGAGAGAGGCCCATCCTAGTGCTTTTCAGGATGCCACTGGCCTACCCCAGGTATAAAGAGGGGGAGCAGGGACTGCCCTTGGTGCAGCAGCAGCCATCACTTGGGGACCTTGTGGAGAGAAGAGGGCCCTCTTGGTGGCTGTGGGCAACTCATCTCTGCAGGGCTGGCTGTCTGTCCTGTGGATGCATCGTGACTTTTCCCTGCCTGTTGCATTCCCCGCCCGCTGCATTCCCAACATGCACCCACCTTCACTGGAAGTTTGCTCATCACACTTCACACATCCCTATGGGCAGGCACTTTATGGAGGAGGAAGAGAAAAGGAGATATGTCCCAGGAGGAGAATGCAGCTGAAGCCAGCCTCAGGAGTAACCCACAGAGAGAGCTTGCAGTTTTGCAGAACTCTCGGCTTGGCTCAGCTTTGTCCCGCATCCCTCTCCTCCTCTCTCCTGACTGTGGGTCTCTCCCCAGCCCCAGCTGGTCAGTTCCCACATGCTCAACACCAAAATGCTCGAGTCTTCCAATTGAAAAACGAAAACGAAACAAAAAAAACAACCACCCTCTTCCCTGCAATTTCTTCCTCTCCTGAGATGCTGCATTGAAGCGTTTGTGATGCCAGTCCTTCAGGGAAGCAGTTTTGGGTATCTGCTCTGACCCCTGTCCAGTGTGGGTCGTGCTGAACTCGTCCTCATTGTCCCTGTCTGTGTGTTATCCTGTCCCACAGAGGCCCCGACTCTGATCACCAGAGCAGGTCTTGGGCCTGCCTGGAAGAGTCTCTAGTTTCCTGCATGCCGCTCACCAAGTGTCAGGGGCAGTGGGATGCTGGCCACATCTGTCCCACCACTGCCTGGTGGCAGCTGCTTCTGTGCAGGCGGCTGGGGATGCCAAGTCCATGGCAACACCTGGCTTCCAGACCCTGGACCCAGCAGCCACCCCTCGTGGAGCTGCCTTTGGGCCCCAGGCCACCTTTGTTGCCCAGTGGGCTGTGCTCTCAGCCCACCCATGGCCCTGAGTGGGCCCTGCTGGTCACCTGCTGGCCAGGCCCTTCTAGGTGTCTCCTGCCAAGATAACAAACCAGCCCAAAGCATTGTGGCTGGTGGGCCTGTGGGGCCGGGGTGGGAGCCAGGCTTCCTGGACAGCAGGTGTCTGGTGAACAGGCTAGACCTGGCTCCTGGACATTCGCCACCCACTGAGGGCCAGTGGAGGGTCAGGAGGGTTCAGGGAGGGGTTCAGCTGGTGAGTCAGGGAAGGGTCAGTGGAGGGTCAGGAGGGATCAGGGATGAGTCAGCTGATGGGTCGGGGGGGTCAGCCAGAAGGTCAGGGATGGGTTAGCTGGTGAGTCAGGAAGGGGTCAGTGGAAGGTCAGGAGGGGTCAGGGTTGGGTCAGGGAGGAGGCATGAGGGGTCACCCAAAGGGTCAGGAGGGGTCAGCTGGTAGGTCAGGGAGGGTTAGGAGGGGTCACCAGTGACTCAGCAGTGGGTTGGTGGTGGGGCCAAGGCCCCCTGGGGCCTCGCCTGGAAGCTGCTCACTGTACCTCAGGCCGCACGCTGGGAGTCACAGCAAGTCAGCAGGCCAACCTGGTGTGGTGTGCTGAGGGACAGCTCCAAGACCGTGTGTGCCAGGGCGGGGGGTACCTCTCACCACTCACCACAGGTCCTGCGGCCTCCACCCTGACACTTCCTTTTTCCCATGAGCTCATCCAAACCACGACTTGAGTGACCACAAACCATGGACTGTGGACATTTCCCAGAGCTCCAGGCTAATACTCACCCTCTTGATACTTGCACCTGTTCAAGGGGCCTGACTTCACCCTGCAGAGAATCCCACAGAAGGTTCTCCATGCCCCAGCCCCAACCGAACACTGAGACTTCCCCCAGTCATCCCCAGCCCAGGAATGGCTCCATCCTTCTTTGGTCACTCAGTTAAGTAAAATAGACAAACGAAAGTTGCCCATGCAGGCTGCTGTAACAAAATACCACAGCCTGGGAAAGTTACAGACAACAGGGTTTAGGGCTCGCAGCTCTGGAGGCTGGAGTACAAGATCCAGAGGTAAGTCATAAGTAGAGCTTGTGGGCCTCAAAGGCAGAGGCGGTTGCGGGACCAAAATACTGAATATGCAGGAGACAGTGAGTAAACAGAAGGCCTCAGGGCACTAAACATTGATGATTGCTAAGTATATAAGCACCACTTAATATGCATGATCATTAAATATACAACAGAAAGGCACTAAGTATTCATAGTCATAAAATATACCAGAGACACTAAATATTCAGGATCACTAAATACATAGGAGGATATAAATATTAATGATCACGAAATAGGCCGGGGCGGTGGCTCACACCTGTAATCCTAGCACTTTGGGAGGCCGAGGCGGGCGGGTCACGAGGTCAGCAGATCGAGATCGTGCCATCCTGGCGAACACGGTGAAACCCCATCTCTATTAAAAATACAAAAAAATTAGCCAGGTGTGCTGGTGGGTACCTGTAGTCCCAGCTACTCAGAAGGCTGAGGCAGGAGAATGGCATGAACCCGGCGGGCAGAGCTTGCAGTGAGCAGAGATCATGCCACTGCACTCCAGCCCGGGTGACAGAGCGAGACTCAATCTCAAAAAAAAAATGTGTATATATATATATATATATATATATATATATATATATACATACACACACACATATATATACCAGAGACACTAAATATTCAGGATCACTAAACGCATAGGAGGAACTAAATACTAATGATCACAAAATATACAAGAAGCACTAAATATTCAGGATCACTAAATATATTAGAGACGTTGAAAATCCAGGATTGATAAATGTATGAGAGGCACTAAGTGTTCATGATCACTAGGTATACAAAGTGCACATAAATATTCATGGTGACTAGGTGTACAAGACGCACTAAATATTCATGATCACTGACTATACAAGAAGCACTAAATATTCAGGATTGCTAAATTTATGAGAGGTACTGAATACTTATGACCACTATAGATACAAGATGCAGTACGTGTTAGATGTTAATGATCCCTAAGTATACAAGAGGCACTAAATATTAAGATAAATAAACATGAGGCTTAGGTATCTAGGATGACTAGATATGCAAGAGGCACTAAATATTCAGGACAACGCTAAGTATACAATAGGCACTGAATATTCAGGATACGCTAAACAGGCCTGGCTCATTTGAGGCACTCCCGTTGGGATCACCATTCCAGCCCACCTTTCTCTGCAGCGTGGCCAGGACATCCTGTGTCTCAGTGGCCACACCTGCGTGCCATTGCCCGGCACTCTTGCTCTCGCACCTGAGGCCTGGTCTTCGTAAGTAGGACTTTATCCTGGGAAAAGTCTGACAGCAGAGAGAGACAACACCTATGGACACGTGCACCCAGGATGGAGGGGTGGAGAGGGGTAAGTTGACTCACCTAGTGTAGGTGTGACACTCTTACTCTAAAATTGTCTGTGAGCCCTTCCATGCCACGACCTGTAGCTTCAAGGTGACTTTTCACGAGTCCTCCGGGCACAGCAGCTGTTGGAGGTGACCCCAAGGCAAGGGAGCCCAGACACACTGCTTTCCATCCAATCACCACTTTACCTCCCTTCGTGGCACTGAGTGGGTGACTGTCACGTCACTCCCGCCACAAGCCGAGCTCTGGGAAGGCAGGAGAAACCCCGCCTGGCTGCATTCTCAAGGACACCTGCACAGTGGATCACTACAACCAGTGGGACCGTCCCTGAAGGTGTGCGGGGCAGCATGCTTGTGCATGATAGACTTGCCATCATCACATTTTTTTTTTCGAGACAGCGTCTCAATTTGTTGCCGAGACTGGAGTGCAGTGCAGTGGCAACAATCACAGCTCACTGCTGTCTCAACCTCAAGCAATCCTCCCACCTCAGCCTCCTGAGTAGCTGGGACTACAGGCAGGCTCCCCAAACCTGGGTAGTTTTTTGTATTTTGTAGAGACAGTGGTTTCACCATATTGCCCAGGCTGGTCTCCAACACCTGTGCTCATGCATTCCTCCCGCCTTGGCCTCCCAATTACAGGCATGAGCCATTGTGCCTGGCCCTATCATCACAGTTATAAAACTATCACATTTCCAGCCCCAGGAGCTTTACCCACACAGTCTCAAAGCCCTTGCTTCTTGGAAAACCCCCAGAGGCCTCACAGGGCCCTACAAAGAAAAGCCCCACGCTCTTTGTTGTTGAGAATGCTTTACTGGTCCCTTTTTATTTTTTCCCAGCTTTATTGAGGTACTGTTACCGGAAAGGGGTCTCGATCCAGACCCCAAGAGAGGGTTCTTGGATCTCATACAAGAAAGAATTCAGGGCAAATCCATAAAGTGAAAGCAAGTTTATTAAGAAAGTAAAGGAGCTTTTCACAAGATGGCACTGAAAGCGAAGAAGGAAACTCCTGCCCTTCCTAAAGCCGAAGCCAAAGCAAAGGCTTTGAAGGCCAAGAAGGCAGTGTTGAAAGGTGTCCATAGCCACACACAAAAAAAGAAGATCCGCATGTCACCCACCTTCTGGTGGCCCAAGACACTGTGACTCCGGAGGCAGCCCAAATATCCTGGGCAAATTGTCCCCAACAAGCTTGACCACTGTGCTATCATCAAGTTTCCACTAACCACTGAGTCTGCCATGAAGAAGATAGAAGACAGCAACACACTTGTGATCACTGTGGATGTTAAAGCCAAGAAGCACCAGATCAAACAGGCTGTGAAGAAGCTCTGTGACATTAATGTGGCCAAGGTCAACACCCTGATCAGCCTGATGGAGAGCATATGTTCAACTGGCTCCTGATTACAGTGCTTTGGATGTTACCAACAAAATTGGGATCATCTAAACTGAGTCCAGCTGGCTAATTCTAAATATATGCATATATTTTCACCATTAAAAAAAAAAGGAAGAAAGTGAAGGGATAAAAGAATGGCTACTCCATAGGCAGAGCAGCTCTGAGGGCTACTGGTTGGCCACTTTTATGGTCATTTCTTGATTATATGCTAAACAAGGGGTGAATTATTCATGCGTTTCCCAGGAAAGGGGTGAGCAATTCTTGGACCTGAGGGTTCCTTCCCTTTATAGACCATATAGGGTAACTTCCTGATGTTTCCATGGCATTTGTAAATTGTCATGATGCTGTTGGGAGTATCTTTTACTTATAATTAATGATAATTAATGTATTATAATGAGCAGTGAGGACGACCAGAGGTCACATTAGTCGCCATCTTGGTTTTGGTGGGATTTGGCTGCCTTCTTTACCGCGTGCTGTTTCATTAGCAAGGTCTTTGTGACCTATATCTTGTGCCGACCTCCTATCTCATCCTGTAACTTAGAATGCCTAACCTCCTGGGAATGCAGTCCAGCAGGTCTCAGCCTTATTTTACCCAGCCCCTATTCAAGATGGAGTTGCTCTAACTCAAATGCCTCTGACAGTATGATCTACAAATAAAGCTCGTACATATTCAAGGTGCACAGCATGATGTCTTGGTACATGTCACGTGGTGAAATGATTACCACAGTCAAATCAATTAACACACACATCACCTCATGTGGTTACCTGTGTGTGTGTGCATGTGTCTGTGTGTGCGGTGACAACATGTAAGATCTACTCAGTAAATTTTATGTCCATGATATGTTATTAACCAGAGTCTCCATGCTGTGCTTCAGGTCTCCAGAACTACTTATCTTATAGCTGAAGCTTTGTACTCCTCCTCACCCAGCCCCTGACTTTTTTAGATTCCATATATAAGTTGGCTCATGCAGTATTATTTGTCTTTCTGTGCCTGGCTTATTTCACTTAGCATAATGTCCTCTGGGTTCATCCATGTTGTTGACATGGTTTCCTTCTTTTTTAGACCTGAATAATTTTCATTATTATAGTGTAGTATAGCATGTAACACTAATATCTATACCACGTTTTCTTTATTCATTCACTGATGGACATTTAGGTTGTTTCTGTATCTCAGCTATTATGAATAGTGCTGTAATTAACATGGGAGTGCAAGTATCTCTTTATGACAGTGATTTTATTTCCATTGGGCATACTCAGAAGTGAGATGGCTGGATCAACAAAATTAAAAGGCAACCTATGGATGGGTGAAAACATTTGCAAACCAAACATCTGGTAAGGGGTTAATACCCAAAATATATAAGAGCTCCTACAACTTATTAGCAAAAAACAAAACCAAAACAAGAACCAAATAACCTAACTTTAAAAATAGACAAAGGACCTAAATAGGCATTTCTCCCAAGAAGGCATACATATGGCCAACAGGCATATGAATAGGTGTTCAACATTACTAATCTAGGAGGGTCGGTAGGGTGGCTCATGCCTCTAATCCCAGAGCCTAAGGTGGGAGGATTGCTAGAGCCCAGGCTTTGGAGACCAGCCTGGGCAACATAGGAAGACTCCGTCTGTACAAAAAATTTTTAAAAATCAGCGGGGCGTGGTCGTTCCTGAGGTCCCATCTAGTCCAGAGGCTGAGGCGGGAGTATCCCTCGAGCCCGGGAAGTCTAGGTTGCAGTGAGCCGAGATTGCACCACTGCACTCCAGCCTGGGCCACAGAGGGAGACCCTGTCGCAAAAAATAAATAAATAAATAAAATTCAGGAAAATGCAAATCAGAATCAGAATGAAATGTCTCCGAACACCTGTTAGAATGGCTAATATCAAAAAGACAAGAGACAACAAGTGTTGGTCACGATGTGGAGAAAAGGGACCCTTCGCACGCTGTTGAGGGGAATGTAAACTGGTGCAGCCATCACGGAAAATAGGACGGAGGTTCCTCCAAAAACTCAAAACAAGGTCCAGTCTTTCTGAGGCCCCCTTCTGCTTGCCTGTGACCACCCTTCTTCCAACCCTCCAGTTCCAGGTCCCCTCTGCTGCCCTTAGACGCGGCGTCTTCGCACTCTGGGCCTTACCGCGGCTGCTCCTCCAGGTTTGCTCTCCAACTGCAGCCTTCCCTGTCCTACGCGACCACCGGCCTCCTGGCGCCCTCTGCCTATAGTGAACACCCCTCCAACACCGTGCCATCACCTCACGTTTACTCTCACCTCCTCCTCCACTAAATTGCAAGCTCCAGGGAGGCATGTTTTCATCTGATGCGTTCACCCCAAGTACTAACAGCTATGCCTGGCACATAGTAGATGCTAAATGGATATTTGATGAACTTAAAAAAAAAATTCAAAGGATTCCTTTCCTCTCTGGTCAATGGAAGACGGAGAAGGAATGAAATTGAACTTCAATAGCTTAACAAAGGGCGGGAGGGTGGTGTGTTGACCGCCCCCCCAACCCCCCAACGCTGGGCCCCAACCCACCCCGCCCCGCCCCCACGGGATGCTTTTCTACAAGGGTGAGAGGAGCTGACTCCGGTTTGGACTGGAAGAAAGTTTCCAAGAAAATCAAATTAGTGGCCCAAACACATACCCCTTCTCCGCCCCGCGCAGTCTCTGAGATGCGTCCCAGCAATTGCCCAGGGACTTGGAGGGAGCGGGCATTTTCAGGCTGCACAGAGGCCATCTGGGGAGAAGGTGTGCGGCTGTTTTGCTGAAATGTAAAAAGAGATGTCCTTTGGAGCCCGGGACGCCGTTTCCGGCTGGCTACCCGAGGTTGCGTGCAAGGGGCGGGTCCTTAGGCATGAAAATGACCCTCCCGGCCGCAACGGCGCACAGGCCCAGGGCCGCTGAGCCCCTCCAAGCCGGGATTCGTTTTGGAGACCTGCGCGATGGAGCGGACAGCGGGACTGGGGGGCGCCGCAGTGCAGGGTGTACAGCTGCAGAGAAGCCGGGGATACAGGGGTGCGGGGCGCAGGGATAACGGGCGCAGGGGACGGTCACGGGTGCTTTCTAGTGGGTTGTGCAGGCTCAGGTTCCCAGCGCTGGGTGGTTGCGACTCTGCATAAAACGCTAAGCTTTTGAGGCCCTTATTCAAGCTCGGGGACGTCTCCCAGTTGGTCAGTTCAAAACCTCTGGGCCAGGTTGCGTTGGTGGCAGATTCCGCCCGCTAAGTCTCCGCACGCTGCCGCGGGTCTGCTCCTCCCCCGGGGTCAGAACCTCTGACGCTCTCCTGCTTTTACACGCGTTAAGTCACTGGTTTCTTGCAGCATCACGTGTTCCCTAGATACATGGGCTGAGGCTTATTCTTCCTGAAAGTGAGGGTTTTTTCCTTTGGGCTTTCCAGAGCCAGCCCGCGTGGAGAGTGACGAGTGACAGGCGCCTTTGTTCCGGGCTTGCATGGGTGGGACGCGCCCCCTCCTCAGCACTCAGCCCGGCGAGCCTGGCCCTCCCGTCGCCCCTTCTTAAGTGCATTTGTCCCGGGCTCTCGATTTTGTTTACTCTTTCCTGCTTACACAGGTACACACACACACCCAGACCTAAACTTTATATAAACAGACATGAACTTAAAGAAACAAAATCCCCCTATGTGTCAACGCGCTCCTTTTTAACAAAATCAACAAAAATTCAACACAATGTTATTTCCATCCTTTTGTTGTCTTATTAGAAACGTGTATGTTAACTTTCCTCCTTTTATAAATGGGGCATGTTCTAATTAACCATTTGTATGGTTGTTTTTAGTGCTCAAATGGTCACATTGCAGCCCCGGGGAGGTATTTTCAAAACGCTGCTCTGTCATTTTAGGATCACCCTGATTGTTGGAAGCACCTTTGCTTTTGTTTTTGTTTTGTTTTTGTTTTGCTGAGACGGGGTCTAGCTCTGCCGCCTAATCAGGCTCACTGTGGCTTCAAAACTCCTGGCTCAAGCAATCCTCCCGCCTCAGCCTCCCAAGTAGCTGGTACTACAGGTGAGTACCACAGCGCCTAATTGGTTTTTTGTTTTGTGTGTGTGTGCGTGTTTTTGGTTTTTTTTGTTTGTTTGTTTTTGTTTTTGTTTTGTTTTGTTTTGTAGGCAGGTTCTCCCTATATTGCCCAGGATGGCCTTGAACTCTAACCTCGGCCTCCCAAAGTGCTGGGATTACAGGTGTGAGCCACTGGCACCCGGCTCATCTTTGCTTTCTGACAGCAAAAAGTTATTTCAGACCTATCATGGGTGTTTTGTTTTGTTTTGAATTTTTGTTTTTTTGACTCCAGATATGGACTTAACTGCACTCCAAGGAGTTTATGTTGCTCTTCATGAAAATTAGTATTATAGACAAAATTGAAGCTGGGAATCAGCTACTTTTGTCTCTCATTTTCACTGTTCTCTTTTTTTTTTAGATGGAGTCTCACCCTGTCCCCCAGGCTGGAGTGCAATGGTGCGATCTCGGCTCACTGCAACCTCTGCCTCCTGGGTTCAAGCGATTCTCCTGCCTCAGCCTCCCAAGTAGCTGGGAGTACAGGCGCTGCGTCACCATGCCTGGCTAATTTTTTGTATCTTTAGTAGAGATGGGGTTTCACCATGTTGGCCGGGCTGGTCTCGAATCCCTGACCTTGTGATCTGCCCGCCTTGGCCTCCCAAAGTGCTGGGATTACAGGCATGAGCCACCACGCCCGGCCACTGTTCTCTTTTTTTAATGATGGTGTAGCTGTCTACCCTGTGGAGATATATTGATCTTCAAAATCACCGTGATAGTACAGTTATTATGGAAAACATTATTAAATTCAAAATAGAATTCCCAAACGATATAGCAACCCCACTGCTGGGGATATATCTAAAGGAAATGAAATCCGTATCCAGAAGAGAGATCTGCACCATGTTCACTGCAGCACCATTTACAATAACCAAGACATGGAGTTAACCTAAGTATCCATTGTCGGATGAATGAGTAAAGAAAATATGGTACATATGTACAATGAAATACTATTCCGGCCTTAAAACATAATGAAATTCCCTCATTTGTGACAACAGGGGTGAAATGAGAACATTACGTTAAGTGAAATTAGCCAGATATGGAAAGACAAACACTGCATAATCTCACTTCTATGCGGAATCTAAAGAGGTTGATATCATAAAGCAGAGAGTGGAATGATGGTCACCAGGATCTGGGGGCCAGAGACGCTGACTAAAGGGCACAGGAGGGGGCTAGGGCACGCTGACACAGGAGGAGTCAGTTCAAGACATCTAATGTACAACACAATGACTATAATTCACAGCAATGTAGTACATGAAAATTGCTAAGAGAGTAGATTTTAGGTGTTCTCACCACAAATAAATATGTGAGGTAATGTCTATGTTAATTAGCTTGATTTAGCCATTCCCCAATCCATATTCCCAACACAATACATATTTCAAAACAGTACCTTGTACACCATATATACAATTTTTGTCAGTTTAAAGAAATAAAGAAGAAAAAAAGTCACCATGATCATTGGTAGTCCTTCCATGATAATGCTGATGCCTCATCCTCAAGTGAGGACATTTGTCTCAGTCACTTCAAGCTGCTATGACAAAACACCAGAGACTGAGCAATTTGTAGACAATAGAATTTTTGATCACAGTCTGGAGGCTGAAAGTTCAAGATGAAGGTGTCAGCAGGGCTGGGGTCTGGTGAGGGTCCTCTTCTGGGCTGTAGAGTGCAGTCTTGTGGTTGCAACCTCATGTGATGGAAGGGGTGAGGCAGCTCTCTGGAGTCCATTTTACAGTGGCCCTAATCCCATCAGTGAGGGCTCCACCTTGATGACCTAATTATCTCCCCAAGGCCCCACCTCCTATGCCATCCTCACATTGAGGGTTGGGGCTTCCACAGATGAGTTTGGGCTGGGGACACAAATGTTACCCGAAAGGGGTCCCAGTCCAAACCCCAAAAAAGGGTTCTTGGATCTGGTGCAAGAAAGAATTTGAGGCAAATCCATAAAGTGAAAGCAAGTTTATTAAGAAAGTAAAGGAATAAAAAATGACTAATCCATAGGCAGAGCAGTGGCATGGTGCGCTGGTTGCCCATTTTTATGTTTATTTCTTGATTATATGCTAAATAAGGTGGGGATTATTCATGAGTCTCCCAGGAAAGGTGTGGGCAATTCCCAGAGCTGAGGGTTTCTCCTCTTTTTAGACCATATAGGGTAACTTCTGGATGTTGCCATGGCATTTGTAAACTGTCATAGCACTGGTGGGAGTGTAGTGGTGAGGATGACCAGAGGTCACTCTCATCGCCATCTTGGTTTTGGTGGGTTTGGGGCAGCTTGTTTACTGCAACCTGTTTTATGAGCAGCGTCTTTATGACCTGTATCTTGTGCTAACCTCCTGTCTCATCCTGTGACTTAGAATGCCTTAACCTCCTTAATCTCCTGGGAATGCAGCCCAGCAGGTCTCAGCCTTATTTTACCCAGCCCCTATTCAAGATGGAGTTGCTCTGGTTCACACGTCTCTGACACAAACATTTAAGCCAAAGCAACATTGTGGAAAGAAAGGAAAGACATTTCTGAAAACAAATGTGTGGTTCTGCCTGATGGTTCTGGTGAATCTTCCGCACTTGCTATGACAAGAAATTCAAGGAAAATAATAGGTGAGAGTTGTTTTGTGAAAAATGCTGCAACTTTGGCATTGTTGCTACTGCAATTTGGGCCCAGGGTCTTGCAGGTTGGGGTTTCACCCTCCTCATTTCACATAAACCCGGGGCCAGCCTTCACTGGATGCTAATTGGCATATCTACAAATAGGCCAGCCGGTCTGTGTCTCCTGATTTAGAGACTGTAAACTAAAAATAAAATCCTAAGCACCCCTAACCAACTGCACAGACACTCTGTTGGTAAAAGGGACCCCATAGAACCTTAAAAACTGAGTTTCTGGCCATGATAGGGTGGGAGTCAGACACATCTCATTATACCCCTTTCTGTTGAGGTTTAGACACAACTGACAGCATTCATGTTAACATAGAGACAGTCCAGGTGAGGTTAAGAGAATTTTTTAAAAAAACACAGACACAGGATGGAGTCTTTGTGGCAATAAGGTGACAAATTATAAACAAGACCTAAGGGTTAAGTCAGCACCCTACACTTAAAGAATAAACCATGTTTTCACTGCTGCAAGGGTTTTCTTTTACTCCAGCAGCTAACCAAGCACTGGCCTCCAGCTAAGCAACATTAAGACAATTGCAGCTTACCCAGCTCACAGAGGCTGACTCTCCGACCCCCTGCTCCACCAGCCATGATGGCAGCATTCACTGGACAAGACACTGACTTCAAGAGCTTTCTGCTGATGAGAGACCACGACCTTGGGCTAGTCCTGGCCAGTTTACAGACGCTGTGCACTTGAGCACCTTTGAGTCCTGGAAAGACCTAATTGGAATACATTTACATGTGAAGCCTCCACCTCAAGGTAAGCATGCATCACATGTCATGTGCATGTGTGTTCCGTGAACATGTGTGAAGGCTACCCTCATGGATCTCCATAGTCCTCCCGTAGGCTGTGGAATATGTGTGTTTGGCAAAGCCAAACAAGCACAGAGCTCCTGCCCCAACTCCTCCCTCCCCCAAAGTGCCTGGGCTTGGCCCAGGCACTGGGTTTGGCCAAGGCTGTGCTTCCCTGCCCGAGGGATGGCCACTTTGCAGGCTGTAACCCTCTACAAGAAGTGAAATCTGCTTTTCCAATTTATAGATCCTGTGATTTTTTCAGTTAACGCAAAGATAAAGCTGGACATTAAAGCAGTGAAAACAGATTTCCATTCAGTGCCAGCTGCAGTCAGTACAGAGTCGCCTCCATTGTAATTTGTGTAGGGGTGGCGGGGTGTCTTAAAGGGAAGGAGATGGGGTGAGCGGGGGCTCCGTGCCAATCAGATGAGACCATCTGTGTCTGCTAGTCAGCCAGGCCCAAAGTCAGGATTCTACCTTCTGGCAGAGACTAAGGCCTTCTCCCTCCTGGTTTCAAAGGAATGGCTCTGGGTTCCTCGAGGAGCCACTGCTAGATTGTAGGAGACACATGGACATCTCAACACGCCAAAGGAAGCATTCCCAGTTGTGAGCTGGTTTCAGTAAATGCTCTAGGAAAGGAAGAGCCTGGACCAGTCTTCAGGTGTTGGCTGGAATAGAACAGCAAATTCCTGCCACAGCTGCTATGGTCTGAATATTTGTGTCCTCTGATGTAGAAAAAAAACAACTGTTTTTCCTCTGATCTCACAACACAACAATGAACACAGAAGACATCTGTGACCAAACATGTGAGGATTTCTCCCTATCAGCAAGCAAGCAAGCAACCAATGTTTTAGTGGGCACCAGTTAGGTGTCCTTGAACCCAATTTAATTCCGACTTCAGCCAGGCACAGTGGCTCATGCCTTGGTAATCCCAGCGTTGGGAGGCAGAGGTGGGAGGGAATTGCTTGAGCCCAGGAACTGGAGACCAGTCTGGGCAACATAGCAAGACTCTGTCTCTACAAGAATGAAATAAGTAGCTGAGCACGATGGTGCATGCCTGTAGTCCCAGCTGCTCAGGAGACTGAAGTAGGATTGCTTGAGCCCAGGAGTTCCAGGCTGCAGTGAGCTAGGGTCTCACCACTGCATTCCAGCCTCGGCAACAGAGCAAGACCCCATCTCAAATAATCATAACAATAAAAAAACTAAATAAATAAACAAATTCTGACAGTATCTACCTGGAGATTGCATCAGATCCTATAGGTTGAGGGCTCAGTCCCCGAGGCTGCCTCTACTTCAGACACCATGGGCAAGTCCAAGCCTCCAGAACTTCTGACCAGCTGTAACTTGGAGTTCCCTCGACTCCCTCTTTAAGCTTGATTAATTTGTTAGAGCAGCTCATAAAACTAGAGAAACACTTACTTACATTTACCTGTTTATTTAAAGAATAGTTTAAGGCTACAAATAAATAGCCAGATGAAGGAATGCAGAGGGAGAGTTCTGCAAAGGTCCAAGCGCAGGGCCTTCTGACCCAGCGGAGTTGGGCTGCGCCACCCTCCCAGCCTGCAAATGAATTCTCCCTCACCCTTCCTGCAAGCCCCCACGAGTTCAGCCCTCCAGAAGCCCCCAAAACCTGTCCCCTTGGGCCTTTTATGGAGACTTCATTGGATGGACATGATAGAAGACAGCCATGTAGAAATGTGACCGGACAGAAAGTGTGGATGTAACCCCAACAGACTGAGCGGGGAACCCCAGCAGAGCCCATGTGTTCAGACTCTTCTTGGCCTCTCTGGGCAGCATCCTTCCTCCTGGGTATGGGGCAGGACCCTCTCTGAACTGGGAGTCTTATGACCCACAATCAGAAAAGGGAAGTCAGAAAATGTCCTTATGGCCAGGTCCGAGACAGAAAGGTGGGGAAAGACTACAGTTTTCATTTCTGTGGCCTGCCTGGGGAGCAAAACGAGTAGGTAAAAGGAGGGTGGGAGAAGGTCGGAGAGATAGGTTCTGTTTTGGAGGCCTGAGCACCCCAACATTCTAACAAATACTGTTGCTGCAGGACTTTTCCTTAGTTCAGCTAGAGAACTCCGGCCTGTGTAGTGCCTTCAGCTAAGGCGAACAGTGAAAGATGTGGAGGAGGGGAGTTATGAGAAGCAGTGGTGGAGAGGGCCGGCGAGTTAAGGCCTGGCATGTAGATTTCACTGGTGCTGTCTCCTGGCTGATAAGCATCTAAAATCATCTCACATGATTAAATTGATTCCTTCCTGGTGGAGAGGCAAAGACAACTTTGTCCATTTTGTCCTGCTTTTAGGAAAATAGGGGCAAGCAGAAAGCTTTTTTACATCCGTTGTTTCTCAACAATGGATTATTATTGGCCTTCAGCTCCAAATAATCCTTGTGCCAAAGTGGCATCCTTTGGGGAAGAGGTGGCATCCCTTGAGGAGGGGGTGGCACCTTTTAGAGATGGGTGGCTTCCTTTGGAGAGAGGGTGGTATCCTTTGGGGAGGGGTGGCATTGTTTAAGGAGGGGGTGGCATCCTTTGGAGAGGGTGTGGCATCATTTTGGAAGGGGTGGCATCCTTTGGAGGGGGTGGCATCCTTTCGGGAGGGGATAGCACACTCTACAGAGGAGGTGCCATCCTTTGGAGAGTCGGTGGCATCATTTGGGGAGGGAATGGCACCCTTTGGAGAGGAGGGGGCATCCTTTGGGTGGCATCATTTGGGGAGGGGTGGCATCCTTTGGAGGGGGGTAGCATCGTTTGAGGAGGGCTGGCATCCTTTGGGGAGGGGATAGCATCGTTTGAGGAAGGGTGGCATCCTTTGGAGAAGGTGTGGCATTTTTGAGGAGAGGTGGCATTGTTTGGGGAGAGTTGGCATCCTTTGGGGAGGGGGTGGCATTGTTTGGGGAGGGGTGGCACCCTTTGAAGAGGGTGTGGCATCTTTGGGGGAGGGGTGGCATCATTTGGGAAGGGCTGGCATCCTTTGGAGAGGGTATGACATCCTTTGGAAAGTGTGTGGCATCCTTTGGAGAGAGGTGGCAACCTTTGGGGAGGGCACGGCACCCTTTGGGGAGGGGTGGCATCCTTTGGGGAGGGTGTGGCATCCTTTGGAGAGGAGTGGCATCCTTTGGGGAGGGTGTGGCATCCTTTGGGGAGGGTGTGGCATCCTTTGGAGAGGGGGTGGCATCCTTTGGAGAGGGTGTGGTATCCTTTGGAGAGGTGGTGGCACCCTTCAGAGAGGGTGTGGCATCATCTGGGGAGGGAGTGGTGTCATTTGAAGAGGGGTGGCATCCTTTGAAGAGGGTATGGCATCCTTTGGAGAGGGTGTGGCATCGTTTGGGGGAGGGTATGGCATCCTTTGGGGAGGGGTGGCATCCTTTGGAGAGGGTGTGGCATTGTTTTGTGGAGGGGTGGCATCCTTTGGGGAGGGTGTGGCATCCTTTGGGGAGGGGGTGGTATCCTTTGGGGAGGATATTCTCCTATCTTTCAAGAGCAATGTACGTTGAGTGTGGAATGAAGAATAATGAATTATTATGACAAGGATTTGGGCTGTTTTAGATTTAATATGGTCCAGCTAATGCTGACTCCCCACCTCTTTCAATGGGATGAATAGCATTCCCTCACTCTTAAACTAAGAATCCCCAAATGAGAGGTGCACTAATTGCACCTGAGCACCCCCCTTTCATTTGGGGGCCCTGTAGCCACTCACAGACCCACAGGCAGGAAAGGCCAATTTGCGGTTGTGGGGTTGTTTGTTGGCAGTTCACCCCTAAATCCTGGCTAATGTGGGAATCCAAGTCCCTGATTTAGTACACTAGAGATATTTAGAAGTCTACAATAAAAAGCTGACATTATTTTATTATCCCAACTATCCTAAAAGGAACTTTCTTCTATTCACTGGCTATAAAACTCCTTGAAGTTTCAGGTTCTCATTGCTTAACAGCTTGATTTAGGGGCCAAAGGCTACATAAGGCAGATTTTGATACTTACAAAGTGACTCGCGGTTTTAACCAAATAGAGATCCAACATATGGCTGACCTGGTCCGGAAGGGAGGTGATATTTGCCTAAGAAATTATCCTCAAAACTTAGCAGCTCCAGACAACATATGCATATTGTCCCACAGTGTCTGTGTGGCAGTCGGGAATCGCAGTGCTGCCTAGTTGGGGCCTGTCAGAAGGCTACCATCAGCGCTGTCCAGGGCTGGAGTCATCTCAGACCTGACTCGGGCAGAACCTGCCCCCAGGCTCTGGCATGTGACTGTCAGCAGATTCAAGATCCAGTTTTATTTATTTATTTTATTTTTTACTTTATTTAATTTGCTTTTTGAGATGGAGTCCCCAGTCTGTTGCCCAGGCTGGAGTGCAGTGGTGTGATCTCGGCTCACTGCAACCTCCGCCTCCCATGTTTAAGTGATTCTCCTGCCTCAGCCTCCCAAGTGGCTGAGATTACAGACGTAATTATCACACCCGGCTAATTTTTGTATTTTTAGTAGAGATGGGGTTTCACCATGTTAGCCAGGCTGGTCTCGAACTCCTGACCTCAGGTGATCCACCTGCCTCGGCTTCCCAAAGTGCTGGGATTACAGGCATGAGCCACCAGGCCCGGCCAAGATCCACTTTTAGATTCTTTCCTGTGGGCTTCTGTTCTGCGCTGCACACAGCCTGGCCACCAGCTTCCCCAGACGGAGCCGCACAGGGAGAGCAGGAGGGAACCCCCAGTGAGAAGCCGAGGTCTTTCTATAACCTAATCCCACAAGTGTCATCACTGCTGCCAGAACCCACTTGTTCAAACCAGTCAGTAAATCGAGGGGTGTGGACCGCCCACAGGCACAAACACCAAGAGGCAGGAATCCTTCAGGCATTTTAGAGGCAGCTGACCACAGGGGATTCCCTCAAAGGCCCATGGCTAAGTTTGTTTGACAACTGTGATCAGGGGTCAGTTTTGCAGTTTGTGGTGATTCTATGAGATCTCACATCTATAGTGACTGTGTGCTATACGCTGAATTATGTCACACCCCAAAATTCATATGAATATTGGAAATAATATGTCCTGGCCCCCATCACCTCACAATGTGACCTTATTTAGAGATAGGATGTTCACAGAGGTAGCTGAAAGGAGGTCATTAGGGTAGGTCCTAATCCAGTGGGACTTGTGTCCTGATAAAAGGGAAATTTGGACACAGAGACACGCTCAGAAGGAAGACAATGTGAGGAGCCACAGAGAGAACACAGCCACCTGCAAGCCAAGGAGAGAGACCTCAGAGGGTACCAGCGCTGCCCACAGGGTGATCTGTACTTCTCACCTTCAGGGCTGTATGACAATAAATGGACTTTGGTTTAACCCACTGTATTTGTGGTAACGTGTTATGGCAACAATAGAAAATGAATGCAAAGTCTGTTTTAGAGGTAGCCAGGATAGTTTGGGTTAATAGAGGCTTCTGGAATTCTTTTTTTTTTGAGACGGAATCTTGCTCTGTCGCCCAGGCTGGAGTGCAGTGGCATTATCCCTGCTCACTGTGACCTCCGCCTCCCGGGTTCAAGCAATTCTCCTGCCTCAGCTTCCTGAGTAGCTGGGATTACAGGCACGCACCACCACGCCCAGCTAAGTTTGGTATTTTTACTAGAGACGGGGTTTCACTATGTTGGCCAGGCTGGTCTCAAACTCCTGACCTCGTGATCCGCCCTCCTCGGCCTCCCAAAGTGCTGGGATTACAGGTGTGAGCCACCATGCCCAGCCGGCTTCTGGAATTCGTAAGAATAGACAGAGCATACTGAAGCCCTGTCTAGACAACATTTTCGTTGGCATTATGAATTGACGGTGCACAGTTAACTGCTAAATACACATAATCTGTGTAAAGAAGGAGAAAGTTACTATATAAGAGCTTCAGCACTCCTCTGACATGAAAAAGAGATGAGTGCTTCAACCCTTTTACCTTGCTGTGCTCATCCAGGCTGTATCCATTTAGTACAGTTCCAGGTGAGGACACTGATTTCTATCGAGTAGCCTTTCTGGGATTTCTAAGACTCAGGAGAGGACATAAGATTGCATACTCTGTGTCAATAGTTCAGACTTTCAGAAAGAATGAAATTCCTCCTCACCTCCTTTCAATCAAGAATCCCATCGTAGTTACCATGTTATTATACCATTGAGGGGCAGGAGGGGGTCGGCCCGAATGTACAAAATGACAGTGACACTAGGAGCTGGTATTGTCAGCTATTCCCCTTGTCTTTTCATACTAACTTATTTTCTCTCCACATTTTTGTCTTTTAGATTCAGAAATCCCTGTGCCAACTAGAACCCTTTGAAACTAACCCTGACTATCATCAACAAGGAATGTGGCTGCTTCCATAGCATATTTGAAGTACAGAACTCAAGAAAATGCTTCCTATTGATGGAATTTGTTAGACCACCACACTTCCTGGGAATTCAGTTTTCTTCCATTAAATTCATCAGACTCAGGTGGAATTGAGTTGAGTGTCTCTCACAAGCTTTAGGCTGGCAAAAAGAGCTGACACTGCCAACTACAGCTTTTACTGCAAATACAAGCTGCTTCCTTGCAGCTGGGGAACTTAGTGGAGATGTGCACACTTGTGGACACTAGGTGCGTGATGGGGGAGCTTGTAACCCGCCCCTGATTATTCTGAACACAAACCACATCTAGCGGTCAAGTTCTCCTCCTAGGTGGAGAAATGGAGTTTGAGTGGGAGACAAGGCATTGCCTTGCAAATGTCATTTGCACAGCTGGTCCCATTTGTATGGCTTACATTCAAATGAGGGCTTAGAGAAATCCAGCATCTGATTGGATTAAAGTGCACATTTAAATAAGATGCTGCCAGTTCAGCTCTCTAATTGGACCAAACCACTGCAGGATGTCAGCCAATCAGAATGCACATACCAGCCTGCCAAGCCCTCTCCACCGCCAGAATGAAGCGGGGCTACTCTCGGGAATGGGAGGGCTTGTAACCATTGGGAAATCTGTAAATGTGACTCATTATGTTCATAAATTTTGAAAAGCAAAAATTCTTAGTTCTAAAATTATTTTTGCTAATATTGGATAGTTATCTTTTTAAGTAAATAGCAAAGTTTGGATAAAATAAATTGATCATTTCTTATTATGATAAAACAACGCACACCAAACCCCAGCGTCCTGTGTGATGATGAAATACATCCTTCCCCAGTGAGAAGGAAGCCCAGGATTACCTGGAGCAGAAGCTTCCGGAGCCTTTGACTGGCAGGAAATCTCCAGCCATCAGTGTGGAACAGCCTGAGAGTAAGAATTTCCTGGGGACTGAAGGTGTTTCCATTTTGGGAATTTTAATTTTTTTCAATTTGTGGAAAATTGAATTCCAACAGTATGGGTGTGGGTGGCCCACTCTTTTCTTGGTTTTTACCTGTAGGAACCCCACTAGGTTCTCTTGGTGCAATAGAAAAGACCCCTCCAGGCTGTGGCAGGAGGCGGGAAAGCAACCATGGTGAAGTACACTCAGGACATGCCCCCAAGAAAGGCCTACCCTTCAGGGGAGAGACACTAACAGGCTTAATCCAGCTGGGGGAGGTGTGACCCCCAAATGTCTGAGACAGGTCTCAATTAGTTTAGAGAGTTTATTTTGCCAAGGTTGAGGATGTGCATCTGTGACACAGCCTCAGGAGGTCCTGACGACATGTGCCCAAGGTGGTCTCAGCACAGCTTGGTTTTATACATTTTAGGGAAATATGAGACATCAATCATTATGTGTAATATGTACATTGGTTCAGTCCGGAAAGGTGGGACAACTCGAGGCAAAGGCAGGACAATTTGAAGCAGGGAGGGCGCTTCTAGGTCATAGGTAGATAAGAGACAAATGGTTGCATTCTTTTGAGTTTCTGATTAGCCTCTCCAAATGAGGCCATCAGATATGCATTTATCTCAGGGAGCAGAGGGGTGACTTTGAATAGAATGAGAGGTAGGTTTGCCCTAAGCAGTTCCCAGCTTGACTTTTCTCTTTAGCTTAGTGATTCTGGGGCACCAAGATTTATTTTCCTTTCAGATTTATTTTCCTTTCGAGAAAGGTATTCCCTCCACTTCAGCCACCTCTAGCCTTAAGGAGACAAAAGCAGCTAGGAAACACCTGTGAAGGTCACAGTCCAGGGGCACAGGCCAAATAAGAGGCTGAGATTTCATCATAACACTATGGAATGCTTCCTCCACCCCAGGCCGGCCACCACGCCATAAGGCTCCAGTGTGAGTACAGTCTGACAGAAAGAGCTACTGTTGATCAAGCGAGTCAAACTCCATAAAATATTTTAAGAGATTTATTCTGAGCCAAATATGAGTGACCATGGCCCATGACACAGCCCTCAGGAGGTCCTGAGAACATGTGCCCAAGGTGGTTGAGGTACAGCTTGGTTTTATATATTTTAGGAAGGCATGAGACATTAATCAAATATTAAGAAATATATTGGTTTGGTTCAGAAAGGCAGGACAACTCAAAGCAAGTGCTTCCGGGCTATAAGTAAATGTAAACATTTTCTGGCAGATAATTGGTTGAGCTTGTCTAAAGACCTGGGATCGATAGAAAGGAAATGTTCAGGTTAAAAATAAAGGATTGTGGAGACCAAGTTTTATTGTGCAGAGGAAGTGCTCAGATAGCCAACTTCAGAGACAGCAGGTTGTAAATTGTTTCTTATGGGACTTAAAAGGGTGCCTGGCTCTTAGTTGATTATCTCCTGGATCTGGAAAGAAAGGAAGGAAAACAAAGGGGAAAGGGGATTCTCTATAGAATGTGGATTTTTCCCACAAGAGATTTTTCAGGGCAATTTCAAGGCATGGCAAGGAATATATATTTTGGGGTTGAATATTTTTTCCTTGTCTCAAAATTTTATGCCAGAGTCAGATTGAAAAGTCAGTCACAATATATAGGGTCAAATAAAACCCATCTGATGAGAATTTATGGTTTGTAGGGGTTGACTCCCTAGACCCCGTAGGTGGGAATTTGGGTAAGATAAAAGGTGAGAGCTTATTTGGGTAAGATAAAAGGTCAGTGCTTAGTCCTCACTATGATACACCGGACAGTGTGTGAAGGAGCTCTTAGGGAAGTTTAAAGTCAGGAGGGGAGATGAGAACAAGGACCCTAGGTAAACAAAACTTCGGCTATAATAAACATGAAAAAGAGCCCAGTTTCGAGCCAGATGATGTAAATGCTCACGCTAACGGCCTATGTTCCCGATTTTTTTTTTTTAAACAGGGTCTCACTCTGTGGCCCAGGCTGGAGTGCAGTGGCACAGTCATAGATCACTGCAGACTCAAACTCCTGGGCTCAAGCGATTCTCTCACCTTGGCCTCCCAACGTGCTGGGATTACAGGCACACACGAACATGCCCAGCTAAGTTTTTTTTTTTTTTAATTTTTTTTTTCTTTTAGAGACGGGGTCTTGATATGCTGCCCAGGCTGATCTTGAACTCCTGGCCTCAAGCAGTCCTCCTACCTTAGTCTCCCAAAGTGTTGGGATTACAGGCATGAGCCACCACCCCCAGCCATACCAGAGTTCTGATTACCTGATACTTTATCTCCAGCTTCAACACAAAATGACAAGACGTGCCAAAAGGCAAGAACACACAATCTGAAGAGACAAACGAGAACCAGAACCAGACCCACACGGACCATTCCTGACGTCAATGTTTATTGAGTGCCTACTGGGTGCATGGTGCAGGTGTGGGAGTTATTTGGGGTCGTTGTGACCTGGGAAGCTAACAGGCCATTTGCAACAATAAGAACACAGCGCATTTGCCAAGTGCCTGTATAGGCCTTGTGCTGGCACTGTCACTGGGCCTAGGGGGCATCAGCGTTTGGCTCCTTCTCTTTTTTTTTTTTTTTTTGAGGCAGGGTCTCGCTCTGTTGCCCAGGCTGGAGTGCAGTGGCACAGTCTCAGCTCACTGCAGCTTCAACTTCCCAGGCTCAAGGAATCCTCCCACCTCAGCTTCCCAAGTAGCTGGGACTACAGTTGCATGACACCATGCCCGGCTATTTTTTCGTATTTTTTGTAGAGACGGGGTCCCACTATGTTGCCCTGATCTCAAACTCCTGGGCTCAAGCCATTGCTGGCCTTGGCCTCCCAAAGTGCTGAGATTTATTACAGGCATGAGCTACCACTCCTGATCATGAAGCAGGATAGTGTTATTAAAAGTAGACTTAGGTTGTAAATGTATATTACAAACTCCAGGGCAATCATGAAAACATTGAGAAAGAAGTATAATTGATGTGCGGAGAGAGGATGGAGTTTTATTACAGTGCAGTCATGGCAAATATCTTTGAAGACCCTTAACACCCATCACGACTTTGAAATGACAGTAGCTACAAATACTTCCTAATTCAAATGTTATTTAATGCATTCATAAAGATGCACATTTATAACTCTATGACAAGTTAATTTTATATGTTTTCACAACTTATTTCAATATAATTGATTTCCTTTGTATTAATAATTTTTTAACATTTTTGTGCATTTAAAAACTTTTTGGCCTGGCATGGTGGCTCATGCCTGTAATCCCAGCACTTTGGGAAGCTGAGGTGGGTGGATCACTTGAGGTGAGGAGTTCAAGACCAGCCTGACCAACATGGTGAAACCCTGTCTCTACTAAAAATAAAAAAAAAAAATTAGCCAGGTGTGGTGGCTGGTCCCTGTAGTCCCAACTACTAAGGAGGCCAAGGCAGGAGAATTGCTTGAACCCAGGAGGCAGAGGTTGCAATGAGCAGAGATCACACCACTGCACTCCAGCCTGGGTGACAGAGTGAGACTCCATCTCAAAAAAAAAAAGTCTTTCTAAGACAGAATCCATAGGCTTCATCAAACTGCGACAGGGGTTCATGGGACAACAAAAAAAGCTCATGGTGTGAGGAATTCTTGCCATCTATTCAAACTGAACAAGAAAAGAAATCTCCTTAATAAGAAAATATTCTAGAGCACCCAATCTGGATGGAAGTTCATCTTACCTGTTTAAGGAGAAAAATTTGCTTTAGTGTGTTCTATCATGGATAGATTAATACCTTGTTTTGCAGACAAATTTAAAAAGTAAAGAAAGAAAGAAGAAGACATTATAAAGGATCCTTCAGAAAAACACTGAACACATGGCAGGATTCTTTTTTACTATTGAGGCGGTGGGGAATCAGGACAGTGGAGACACACCCACGCTGGGGCCCTTAGAAAGTGGCTATGAACACAGCAAAGATCCGATTGTAAAAAAAACTGGCTACAGCCAACATACTCCCCTGCTTTAGAGATATGTCAGTGTTTCCTGCAGCTTCTGGAAGCTCCAAGGTAGATGACTGGCACTTGGCTCCGTCCCAATTGATGATGTGACTGTGGACTGACTGGTTCATCCCACAGACCGTACTGAAAGTCGTCTCCCACTGGCACCCTCCTGGACACACATGGAGCACTCACCATGCACCAGGCCCACAGAATGGGAAGATGGAACTTGGGGATGGTCAGTATGGACAGGACTTGTGAGGAGTTTCCTGCAGAGTGGGCCAGAGAAGTGGGATGCCAGATGGAAGGGCACATTGGATGGAGAGGGAAGGCGTTCTTTCTAACAAACAGTGGGAAACCCTAGTGCACACTGGCTTTGGAAGAGTCTTAGGAGGACAGAGCTCACCATCGCTTTGTGCACTGTTTACCCCAGACCTAGAAGGAGTGCCTGTTCCTGTAAGACCCCCATCTCTGCCCTTACAGTGAGTTTGTGAAAGTCCAGATGGTTTCAGGCTTGCTGCTGCCCAGACTAAGGAGAAAAGCCAATTTATAAATTGGAGAAGCGATAGCATATTGTTTGCTGATGGGAATGCTCCTACAGAGATGATGCAATATGACCAACCACGTACGACCCCCAAATCTCAAAGAACTTTAACACGAGGATACAAGTCCCGTTACTGCCTCAGCTGTACATGCAAAGACCATAAGGAGAGAAAACGAGGAGACAGAGAAAAAGCACTGATTTACAGAATGCGTGTGGCCTCGACAGACCAGTTCCTTGTGGGGAATGTTTGTATCTCACATTCTCTTCAGTTTGCAGAGGAAATCTCTCTTGGGAAGTTTTCAGGGGACATTTTTCTCTACGTCTTGGTCCTTCTAGGGGTTTTAACGACATAGAACTCAATGATTGGAGATCAAGAAAATGAACTGTTCAGCTAATCATCTAAAAAGCGCTTTTACATGTAATATAGAGGCTATTTTCAAGCCTTGCCAGGGGTGGGTGGGTCCGCATTTAGGCAGCCCTTTATTCTGTGCTTCATGTGAGTGCATTTGTTTGCTCAGACACATAGAACCAGGTGGCATCCTGTGCTATGTCTGGGTGGTTTGGGAGCTCAAAGCCCCTGAGAATCTAAAAGCAAAAGCCCTTATGACTGGAAAAGTGAGGTCGCAGACATGTGCCCAAAACCTATGAGCCTCTTGGCTGCACTCGGAGAACTGGCCAAGCCTGTGCCACACTCCACAGGGAGGCCTGGGTAGAGTCACGAGGCAGAAAGGGCTGCTTTGCAGGTGCTCCTGGGGAGGTCGCAGCAGGTGCCTGGAATCCATCATCCGCCCATCATCAGCCCCGTTAGCCCTAAGGACACCTGGAGAGTCCCAAGGCTGCCTCTCTCGAGTGAGGGACAGCTCCAGGAAGATGGAACGTGTCCAAATCCTCCCAGGCAGTTAAAGGGTTGAGCAGCATCTGGTCTGGCCAGGTCAGACCCCACATCATTTACACCAGGGGCGAGCCTGGGTGGACTTCACAGGTGGATGGTCCTAGGGTCCTTCCATCTGTCTGCCCAGCCAACCAGACCCGATGAGCAGAGGGCAGCAGGCCTTCTGTGTAACAACCACTGTCCAATAAAAAAACCAATCCAGATTTAGTAAGGAGATATCTTTATGCAAAAGGATATTGCAATAGGAGATACCAGAATACTGCAATAGGGAGAAAGCATTGACCTTAATGTCTGCAAGCTCCCAAAGGTGACGCAGAGAAGGAGTTTTCTTATATAGGGAGGAATGAATGAGGCTGGAAAGAACCACGTCTGGGGAAGTGGGATGAAGGGTGGCTGAGGGGACAAGAGATTGAGGATACTTTACCCTGAGCCTGGCCTGCTCCAGGAGAGGCCAAACATCAGGGCGTTGGGGGAGGGGAGAAGCTGAACCAAGGCTGGGCAAACAAGCATCTTGTGTGGATTGACGCATGGGGACAAGGAGTTCAGGTAATCATTGATAAGGCAAAGATGGCAATGTAGTGGGTGCTATAGTTTGAATAAGGTGTTTGTCTCATTAATTCTCATGTTGAAATTTAATCTCCAGTGTTGGAGGTGCAGCCTGGTGGGAGGTGCTTGGGTCCTGGGGGCAGATCCTTCATGAATAGACTCCTGCCCTCCCTTGTAGGGAGTGGAGTTCTTGCTCTATTAGTTCCTGCCAAAGCTGGTTGTTAAAAACAGCCCGGCACCTCCTCCTCTCTCTTTCCCTGTGACCTCTGCACACAGGGGCTCCCCTTCATCTTCCACCATGAATGGAGGCTTCCTGAGGTCCTCATCAGAAGCAGATGCTGAAGCCTTGCTTCTTATACAGCCTGCAGAACCATAAGCCAAAAAAAGTTTTGATAAATTACCCAGCTTCTAGTATTCCTTTACAGCAACGCAAAACAGACAAAGACAGTGGGCCTGTCATGCATCAACAAGGGGCGCTGTAGGGGAGGCAGAATTCTACCTCCATTATCTTAGGGTCCAGGGTGGGCCCAAGAATTAGACTGACATTAGAGAGATGAGCAGGAGAAAAACATACAGTTATTTAATACAAATTTAATGTGGTACAGGAGCCCTCATAAGGAAATGAAGATGCAAAGAGGCAGTTAGAGTCACTTATATACAGAGGTGGACAAACACTATTAAGTTGTGAGATTTGATACGGCCACGGGGCTTGAGTGAGGATAGTTAATGGGGTGAAGAAATGACTAAGTCAAAATACTTACACACTAGGTTGAACAAAGAGTAGTAACTGTGGCAACAACTAGGAAGATAAGGGTTAGTTTAATAAAGTTTGTTTGTATAGATTTCTCTTGGCTTCTATCTTGGTCTGTTTCATGTTGTTAAAGGAATACCTGAGGCTGGATGATTTATTAAAAAAAAAAAAGGTTTATTTGGCTTATGGTTTCGCAGGCTGTACAAGAAGCACAGTGGCTGGGCGCAGTGGCTCACGCCTGTAATCCCAGCTACTCAGGAGGCTGAGGCAGGAGAGTCGCTTGAACTTCCCGGGAGGCGGATGTTGCAGTGGGCTGAGATCACATCACTGCACTCCAGCCTGGGCAACAGAGTGAGACTCAGGTCAAAAAATTAAAAAAAAAAAAGCATAGTGGCCGGGCACGGTGTAATCCTAGCACTTTGGGAGGCCAAGGTCGGGGGATCAGTTGAACTCAGGAATTCAAGACCAGCTTGGGCAACATAATGACAGCCCATCTCTACAAAAAAATTAAAAATTTAAAAATTAGCTGGATGTGGTCCCAGCTACTTGGGAGGCTGAGGTAAGAGGGGCCTGGGCAACAGAGCAAGATGAAAAAAGGAGGGAAAGGAGGGGAGGGGAAGGGAGAAGAAAAAAAGGAAGGGAGGGAGGGAGTGAGGAAGGGAGGGAAGGAGAAAGGAAGGGAGGGAAGGAGAAAGGAAGGGAGGGAAGGAGAAAGGAAGGGAGGGAAGGAGAAAGGAAGGGAGGGAGTGAGGAAGGGAGGGAAGGAGAAAGGAAGGGAGGGAGGGAGAAAGGAAGGAAGCAAGCATAGGGCCCACCTCTGCTTCTGGTGAGGGCCTCTGGCTGCTTCTGCTCATGGTGGAAGGTGAAGGGGAACCCATGTATGTGCAGAGGTCACAGGGCTGCCGCGAGAGAGGACGCCAGAGAGAGAGGGGAGAGGGGTGCCAGGCTCTTTTCAACACCAGCTCTTCAGGGAACCAACAGAGTGAAAACTCACCCTAAAGGAGGGCAGGACTCTATTCAGAGGGTGACACCCCAGGACCCACACACCTCCCACTGGCCCCCCCCTCCCTGGGCTCCAACTTTAGGGATCAAATTTCAACTTGAGAGTTGGAGGAGATTTGGAAGCTTCCACCTCCCGTCCTTGATGATAAGAACGTTCCCTTGCTTTTACTATAAGGAGAACATCTTTCATATGGGAATTTCATCTCTTGTATTTAAGAAACAACAAGAAATTCAGAATGATCTTCCTACACCTGCTTCTTCTTTTTTTTTTTTAAGTGCCTTTATCTCAAAATAGACAATATGCCAGAAAGGCACATCTTTACCTTCTTCAGAATCCTAAGGCTCATCTAAGCCGTACAGGTAAGGGAGTTCTTTGCAGGTCATAAAAAGTGGGAGATTCCTTTAACTCTGGCTGCATCCCAGAGCTTTGTCACTGTGTAAAAGTGGAATGCCGGCCGGGCACGCTGGCTCACGCCTGTAATCCCAACACTTTGGGAGGCCGAGGCGGGCGGATCACGAGGTCAGGAGATCGAGACCATCCTGGCTAACATGGTGAAACCCCGTCTCTACTAAAAATACAAAACAAAATTAGCCAGGCATGATGGCGGGCACCTGTAGTCCCAGCTACTCTGTAGGCTGAGGCAGGAGAATGGCGTGAACCCGGGAGGCGGAGCTTGCAGTGAGCTGGGATTGCGCCACTGCACTCCAGCCTGGGCGACAGAGAGAGACTCCGTCTCAAAAAAAAAAAAAAAAAAGTGAAATGCCAGCTGGGCCTGGTGGCTCATGCCTGTAATCCCAGCACTTTGGGAGGCCGAGGCGGGTGGATCACCTGAGGTCAGGAGTTCGAGACCAGCCTGGCCAATATGGTGAAACCCCATCTCTATTAAAAACACAAAAAATTAGCCAGGCATGGTGGCGGACACCTGTAATCCCTGTAATTCCAGTTACTCGGGAGGCTGAGGCAGGAGAATCGCTTGAACCTGGGAGGTGGAGGTTGCAGTAAGCAGAGATCACGCTATTGCACTCCAGCCTGGGCAACAAGAGTGAAACTCCATCTCAAAAAATAAAAAAATAAATTAATTTTTTAAAAAAGTGGAATGCCATGTGCTGGCTTCTGGAAGGCTCTTGCCACCCAAGTCATGGGGAAGGGAGAAGAGGAGCGCTGAGAAGACATGAGGAAGCTTGTGCTGGAGAGAGATGATCCCCACCACCGCGGCCTACCCGCATCAACCCTTCACAATGCTGGTGCCAGCTCTGGTGGCCACGACCAACAGGCATGAATATAAGGGAGAGGCGCCCGAGTGGAGTTCCCTGTGGGCCAATCAGAGAGCAGTGGGCCATCACGCCACCTGAGGCCAGCCAATGGGAACGCGGCAAGCTCTATAAAAGCGAGCAATCCGCTGAGGTCTGGGCAGAGGACACCGCGGGGCCAACAGTTTCGGATTCATGGCCCGAACCAAGCAGACTGCGCGCAAGTCAACGGGTGGCAAGGCGCCGCGCAAGCAGCTGGCCACCAAGGTGGCTCGCAAGAGCGCACCTGCCACTGGCGGCGTGAAGAAGCCGCACCGCTACCGGCCCGGCACGGTGGCGCTTCGCGAGATCCGCCGCTACCAGAAGTCCACTGAGCTGCTAATCCGCAAGTTGCCCTTCCAGCGGCTGATGCGCGAGATCGCTCAGGACTTTAAGACCGACCTGCGCTTCCAGAGCTCGGCCGTGATGGCGCTGCAGGAGGCGTGCGAGTCTTACCTGGTGGGGCTGTTTGAGGACACCAACCTGTGTGTCATCCATGCCAAACGGGTCACCATCATGCCTAAGGACATCCAGCTGGCACGCCGTATCCGCGGGGAGCGGGCCTAGGAGGGCTATCTCGCCACCTGAGAGGTTGCGCAACGTTCACCCCAAAGGCTCTTTTAAGAGCCACCCACCTGGTCGAAGAGTTGCTGTAGCAAGCTAGTCTCTTGGGTTTCGGGGGGTTCCTTCCGCTGGCCTGTGCTGGCTTACCTACTTCTGATTAGGGTGGGAGGCTGGTGAATCCTGTGTTCACCCTGTCCAGTTAGGAGGCCAGCTACTCACACGCGTTACCTCTCAGCCTGTCTCCAGTCACAAATCCAGCTAGTAGTGTGTGGGGCTAACTTGGCCTATCCGTTTAGATAAGAATCATGGTTGGTCTGTTTTGGGGACGGGGTGTTGAGGGTAGCCTAATTGGTCTATCTCCAGTTAGGTAAGCAACCCCAGCTAGTTGTGTCAACTCAGCCTATCTACAGTTAGGTTGGAAGGCTGGCTGGTCTTGTGTGTTCTCAGCTCAGCCTCTTTCAAATTAGGTTAGAAGTCCTGCGTGTGTGTGTGTGTGTGTACACGCAGCTTGTTTCCAGTGAGGTTACCAGTCCAGCTAGTCTTCTGCCTTGACAGCCCATCTCCTGTTAAGGCCAGCAAGTAGTATGTATTATCTTGGCCTATTTTAAGTTAGAAGTCCAGCTACTTCACCAGCATAGCAGCTTACGCCTGTAATCCCAGCACTTTGGGAGGCCGAGGCGGGTGTATCACCTGAGGTCAGGAGTTCCAGACCAGCCTGGCCAACATGGTGAAACCCCATCTCTAAAATTAGCCGGGTTTGGTGGCGCATACCTGTAATCCCAGCTACTTGGGAGGCTGAGGCAGGAGAACTGCTTGAACCCAGGGGGCGGAGGTTGCAGTGAGCCAAGATCATGCCACTGCACTGCAGCGTGGGCAACAGAACGAGACTCAATCTCAAAAAAAAAAACAAAAAAAAGTCCAGCTACTTGTGTGTTTTAACTCAGCCTACCTCCTGTTAATTTAGAAGGCTGGCTAGTTGTGTATCTTTTTAACTTGGGCTATCTCCCATTAGGTTAGAAGGCTGGCTAGGGGTGTGTGTGTGTGCACGTGCACCCATGTGCACACATATGTAGCTGTGGTGTTGGCCCATCTCGGGTTAGAAGTCCATCTCATTGTATGTGTTAACATACCCAATCTCCCATTCAGTTAAAAGGCTGGCTAGTCATGTATGTTGTAAATTCACCCTGTCTTCTGTTAGGGTAGATGACTAGCTAGTTGTGTGTGAGAAGCCCAGCTAGGCATGTGCATTGTTAATTCCTAAGTGAAATCAATACTGGGAAACCCCAGCCCAAAGTTCAAAGAGGGCACTCTGCCCTGGAAGTCAGTTTACTGAGCAGTCGCAGACAGGCGTGGCCCATGTGCCCAGCACTTTGAAACAGGCTTCCCAGCGCCACAAAGTAGTCTGGCAGTGCTCTGGGGATGAGAGACACAGAGACCAACTTGCTGAGAAATCCTACAGCTAGGGCAGCAGGCCACAGATCCAATAGTAGACTTATGTCAGGAAAACCTGAGGATGGCTGTGAGGATAAGGATGTAGGGATTGTCTCCCTCTGGTACAGGTTGGAATCATTTATTTGTGAAAGGCTTTATTAAATTGAATGAGGCCAAGCACTACCCCATGCTGGGATCATGGAGGGAATAAAATCCATTTCCTGTGGCTGCTGCCCACTCTGCTTTCAAGGTGCTTATGCTTGAGTGAAGGGGGCCTGTATTGTGTGTAGAAGCAATGATAGTAAAAGGTGCTCTTATACATAGCAAGGGATGTGCATAAAGTGCTATCAATAGGCAACAGTGGATTTTATAAGTCTCTTTGAACCCAATTTATAGCCTGTTGACTCAAAATTCAAAAGCTTCATCAATTTATTAGTACACACACAACTGAACATCATACCCTTTAAATCTCAGGATGTATTTAAACTTATGAGTGCCAGATCCTTGGAGGGCTATCCAGAAAGCCTAGAATATTCAGGGACAGCTATGTTCTGGTTTTGAAAGTCAGCTCTGACTTTCAATACTAGACTCCTTTGGGATAAATTTAAGTTTTCCCTTTTTGTTTTGTTTTTTCAGAGACAGGGTCTTGCCATGCTGCCCAGGCTAGAGTACAGTGGCTATTCACAGACGTGAGCATAGTGGCCAGCCTTGAACTCCTGGGCTCAAGCCATCTTCCTGCCTTAGCCTCCCGAGCAGGTGAAGTTCAAGTCTTCTGTGCTTTACAAAGCCCTTGTCCTAACAAAGTCTTGCCCAGTGGTGGAGAGCTAAACCTATGTAACCTTGCTGATGATCTTGCTGGATAGCCTGGAGGGAGCAGGAATTTGGGCAGTTAGCTACATTTGCGGAACTGGATGCAGATAATGCATTCTTGACAGGATCATGATCAAGCTTTGCCTTCTGTAGGAGACCAAGCCACTTAAGCAGCCCCCTGTCATTCTGGTCTTTGTATGAAGAACAGAGTCTAAGTTGGGCAGTGTGGCACATGCCTGTAATCCTAGCTACTGGGGAGGCGAGAGGATGGCTTGAGCCCAGGAGTTTTTGAGGCCAATCTGGGCAACAGACCCTGTCAAAAACAACAACAATAACAAAAACAACAACAACAACAACAAAAAACAAGAGCTTGGCCTTATATGTTCCTTGTTTTCACTGATTAATGGAGTGGATAGTGCACTAATTGTGCCCTATAAAGATACAGCAAGGCAATACAGGGCAATTTGTATCTCAGAACTGATTGCTGAGGACCTAAGGTGAGGAGCTAAGGAAGGAAGTTTAGACACAGGAAAAAAGTAACTGAAGTCTTTCTGGGTCGTGTAAGTGGGCACTTGAGGAAGTCTTTCCAGCCAGGCATAGTGGCTCATGCCTATAATCCCAGCTTTTTGGGAGGCTGAGATGGGAGGATTTCTTGAGGCCAAGGAGTTCAAGACCAGCCTGGACAACATGGCAAGACTCTGTCTCTACAAAAAATACAAAAATTATCTGGGCATGATGGCGTGTGCCTGTGGTCTTAACTACTTAGAAGGCTGAGGTGGGAAGATCGCTTGAGCCCAAGAGTTCCAGGTTACAGTGAGCAGTAAGCCGTGATCACACCACTGCACTCCATTCTGGGCAACAGAGCCAGACCCTTACAATTACGACCAGAGCCTTTGCTTCTGTATCCTGTGGGTTCTAACGATGTGAGATAGTAACTGAAATGTGGATATCTGTTCACTGTGTACTCAACTCTTCGAGCGCATGTACACTATGGAGGTAGCCTGAGCATGCAGTGTTTATAAAAGTGGAAAGAGTGGTTCTAAATATCAAAAAGTTAAAATTCCAGAAATAATAGAAAGGAGAGTTAGGCATTAAGAGATAGTGCTATGGGCCTTGGTGGACTGAACAAAGGAGGACAAAAGTGGGAATAAAGACAAAGACAAAAGAGTATATTTGGAAAAAGGGGTCAGGGGGCTCCTTGCTTCTAGTGAACAAGGGCCCTGAGCTTCTAGAGCCCTTCTTATTAAGTAAAGGAGACAGGGATAAGGGGGTGGTTGTGGTCAGCTGCTTGACTTAGTGCAGGCCTGCATGACTGCATTCTTTGAACAGTAGGCTCCAGATGTCCCAGTAGATAACCTCAAGGAGCACAGAGCCAGGGAATGAGGCCCTCAGCGTACCTTCTGGTGGCAGGCACAGATGCGAGTTTGCCCACATCCTGCATTCATGATAAACAGTTTGCTGTTTAGTCATATAGCCTCCAGTGGAATGCTGAGTTGGTCACGACCCTCAGGCTTTCAGCTCCCAACAAGATAGCAGAATAGACCTCCCCAAAATATGCAGATTTGATATAAGAATTATTTTGAGCTGAAGGCACTTGAAGAACAGCAGGTGTAAGAAGGGCCCTCTGACCCCTTTTCCTGAAAGCAGGTGATGAACCCTCCATGGGAAAGGTGCTTGCCTCTACCAGCAGGGAGAAACAGCATGACTAGGCATGGGGACTGAAGTGCAGCAAAATGTATACAAACAGGCTTTGTTAAAGTAGCTCTTATCGCCAGGTAGAGTGGCTCATGCCTGTAATCCCAGCACTTTGGGAGGCCAAGGCAGGCAGATCACCTGAGGTCAGGAGTTCCAGACCAGCCTGGCCAACGTGAAACCCCGTATCTACTAAAAAAACAAAACAAACAAAAAAAATCAGCCAGGTGTGGTGGCGCGCACCTGTAGTCCCAGCTACTTGGGAGGCTGAGGCAGAAGAATTGCTTGAACCCAGGAGGTGGAGGTTGCAATGAGCCACGATCACATCACTGCACTCCAGGCTGGGTGACAGAGTGAGACTCTGTCTCCAACAAACAAACAAACAAACAAAAATAGCTCTTACCTTCCCCAGCCTCCCTAGGTATTCCAGTTGCTTTCTCACAATTACTACCCTTTGTTCCATCCAGTGGATAAGCACTTAGGCCTAACTACTCTTGAGGTCTTCATTTTGCTGTGAAGGCTCCCATGTACATGTACAAATGAAATGTGTATGCTTTCTCCCATTAATCTGTCTTCTTTCGTTTTAGTCTATGCAGGCTGCTATAACAAAATGCTATGGCTTGGTGGTTTATAAGCGACAGGAATTTATTGTTCACAGATCTGGTGGCTGGCAAGTCCAAGGTCACGGTGCCAACAGATTGAGCTTCTGGTGAGATTCTGCTTTCTGGTTCACAGACAGGGCCTTCTCACTGCGTCCTCATGTGGTGCAAGGGGTAAGGTGAAAATAAATCTCTGGAAAGGCACCAATCCTATTCATGAAGGCTCCACCCTTATGGCATAATTACTTTCCAAAGAACTCCATCTCCTAACACCATCACCTTGGAGGTGAGGATTTCAAAATGTGAATTTTGGAGACAGACATTCAGTTCATAACAATCCGGATTTGTTTTTCTGTGGCTCAGTGGACTCTCCTGTTGAGCAGTCTGAATTGAAGACATAAAGAGGCCATGGCTCTCTTACCCTATTTTCAGGAGCCCCTCTTCTTTTCCATTTAATTCAGCCTATTTTAAATTGCATGAGCACTTAAATTTTGCTCTCGAATCTTTTCTACAATGTTAATAACTTAGTGGGGGCTGCATTCAGTAAGGGCAAAGGATATTTACCTTGTAGCAGTGTAAGTAAGACTTGTGTTTCAAGACTGACATTGCTGATCCTTTGCTTAAATAATTTGAAAAAAAAAACCACAATCCACAGCAGTGGTATTTAATTTAAGAATTAAATTATTAAAGTAGAATTCAATTTAAGAATTCCAAAAGGATATATAGTGAAAATTGAGCCTCCCTCAATTAGGGGGTTCCTCAGCCCTTAATTTCCCTCATCAGATGGAGTTTCTTGTTTATTTCTTGTATATTTTCCAAGAGATACATATACAGTAATTATGTTTACCTAAATAGTGGCAGACTACATATACTGTACATCCTGCCTTTTATTAAACCTAACAATTTATCAGGACACATAACTGCTATCTGATTTTTTCTTAATGACTTGAGGATATGAAGGTTATTCCAATTGTTTTATCATGATGATAGATTTCTCAGCTCAATAACCAGGTGAGCCTAAAAAGCATTAATAATGAGCATCCTGGGCTGATGCCACATTTTAACAAGTATTTGTTGAATTCCCCACATCATGCTAGTATGGGAGGAGACTGTGAATTAAATTGACCAAAGACAGACGAACAGGAGAAAGGCATCCATGTTGTATTGATCTTAATATTTTTATATGCATGGGGTGTACAGGAAAGAAGTGAAAACCCAAAGAAGTTGTTAGGCTCAGCTGCTTGTAAACCATTTGTAACAAAGGGTGATAACGTGTCAGCAGGTGACTAGGACATGTGTGGTGCTATGCAAGATATAGATATATTCCATTTCCCCTCTAATTCTGTGATTCTGTTTTCCCAATTGAAGGAAACCTGCAGCTCACAATCCCCTCACTGATGCAAATGACAGGCAGAGGATTGGGTCTGCCCAATCCCCAATTTATTGGGGAAAATAAATCTTGGGCCCCAAAATCACTAGCTAAAAGGAAAAGTCAAGCTGGGAACTGCTTAGAGCAAACCTGCGTCCCATTCTATTCAAAGTCATATCTCTGCTCACTGAGATAAATGTATATCTGATTGCCTCTTTTGGAAAGGCTAATCAGAAACTCAAAAGAATGCAAACATTTGTCTCTTATCTACCTATGACCTGGAAGCCCCCTCCCCACTTCCAGTTGTCCCGCCTTTCTGGATGGAACCAATGTTCATCTTACATATATTGATCGATGTCTCATGTCTCCCTAAAATGTATAAAACCAAGCTGTGCTCGGACCACCTTGGGCACATGGCTGTGTCATGGGCGTGTGTCCTTAACTTTGGCAAAATAAACTTCCTAATTGACTTAAACTAGCCTCAGATATTCTGGGTTCACAAGGGTAATTCACTTAATCGGCCAGTGTGCGCAGCCAGCCCGCACCTGACAGCACACAGACCCCTTTGTGTGTGCGAGTGATGAGAGACCACAGAAGAAACACTCTACCGAGTGAGCCCAGGGAAAGCCAGCCATCTATGCCTGTGGCCAGCTGTCTACACCCGCACACCCAGGAGATTGCAGAATGGTGCCTCTTAGCCTTCAAGGCCCTGTTTTCCTGCCTGTCTGCACCCCCTGTGTGGGCCAAGCCTTAGTTTCTTCATCTGTCCTCTCTCTCCAATCCCAGGACTCTGACTCAGGGCACGCAGGCCTCTGGCTCCTGTTCCTGAAAGCAGGAGATGAACCCTCCATGTGAAAGGTGCATCCCTCTACTGGAGGATGAAGCGTGATGACTAGGCGTGGGGACTCAAGGCCAGGAGAAATGGCCACCAGTCAGGACCTGGGCAGGGCTGGGGGCGGCATTTTGGCTGAAACCGTAAGAGACTTTTAAACCAGAGCAACTCCATCTTGTATAGAGGCTGGGTAAAATAATTCTGAGACCTGCTGGGCTGCATTCCCCAGAGGTTAGACATTCCAAGTCACAGGATGGGATAGGAGGTTGGCACAAGATACACGTCATAAAGACCTTGCTGATGAAACAGTATGTGGTGAAGAGGCCAGCAAAATCCCACCAAAACCTAGATGGCGACCAGAATAACCTCTGGTTATCATGACTGCTCATTATATGCTAATTTTAATACGTTAGCATGCTATGAGATACCCTCACCAGTGCCACAACAGTTTACAGATGCCAAGACAAGGTCACAGTTACCCTATATGGTCTAAGAAGGGGAGGAGCCCTCAGTTTCTGGAATTGCCCTTCCTTTTCTGGGAAACTCATGAATACCCCACCCCTTATTTAGCATATAATCAGTAAATAGCCATAAAAATGGGCAACCTGTAGCCCTGGGGGCTGGTCTGCCCATGGAGTAGCCACTCTTTATTCCTTTACTTTCTTAATAAACTTGCTTTCACTTTACTCTATGGATTTGCCCCGAATTCTTTCTTGCCCAAGATCCAAAACCCTCTCTTGGGGTCTGGATCAGGACCTGTTTCTGGTAACAAAACCACCTGGGGTGTCGGCAAGACCCACCCCGTCCCGCCTGGTTCTAGGGGACCTGACCTGCCAGGTGGTCCCTCCAAACTGGTCCGCCCACAGGATTGGGACGCCCCTCCCTGTACCCTCAGCCTGATGCTGACTGCCAACCATGTGGGCAGACCTGGCGGCTGACTGGCTGCTCCTGGGGACCCCCTTCATAGCTTCTCAACAGGCACTCGCTCCTGCTGCCTCGCCCCCACCCCAGCCCACACAAACTCCTCTCCATCCCCTACCCCGACCAACTTAGCCCCTCACCTAACCCTCCAGCCTGGGGCTCGCGTGCCCTCCCGCAGCCCCAACCCCAGGTTGAGAAGCCTCTTCCAATCCCACTCCCCCCACCCTGACGCTCGCCTGCCCGCCCCTAGCCCCACCAGCTGTCCCCATTCCACTCCCCACCCCCAAGTAACCCCCCAACTCCCCACCCTCCACACTCCCTTAACCTCCCCTAAAAGTCCCACCCCAGGCCAACAAGACTCCTCCCTTCGCTGGGCTGTGGACCACATCCTCCCCACCGCCCAGTCAGCACCCGCTGCGCCTGTCCCCGGCTCGTCCAGAGCCTTCCACCCCCTGCCGCCTTCCTTCCCCAAGCCACCCCCAACCTCTCCTAAGAGGCGCCGCCCCAGTCCCGGCCGCCGAACACTCCCTCGCCCAGCATTCCCCTCCCCCGCCGCCCCCCAGCCCCCGCTGACGCCACAAAGTCCCTAGGCCTCCCGACCCCAGGTCCCCACGCCCCGGGCCGGGCCGCAGCCTCCTGGGCTTCGTGGGGGCAGACCCAGCCTTTCCCGGCAGCGAGCGCTCGGCCAGGTGCACTAGGCGCTGTGCGGGCCCCCCTTCCCCGCGGTGAGTAGCCCCCACCCCGCCGCCTAGGCTACCCTCCTGTGGCGCCTGGGCCACGACCTAAGCCTAACCCGGTCCTCCTCGCCCTCCAACGCCCGGCCTTCCCGCCTCCGCCGGCCGCCGCGTCCCTGGAGGGGCTAGCGCGCTTCAACAAGGTAACTCTACCGGGACCCTAGCGGACCAGAGCGGGAAGGACAGCCATCCCGGCAGCCAGAGCCAGAGCCCCAGGCCCGCTGCCGCTGTCCCTGCCCGGCTTCGGTCAGGGTGGGCTGGGTGCCTCCGTTAGGGCTCTTGGGGGGAGTCGGAGGGCTGGCGCCGGGTGGTTGGCGTGCAGAAAGCTCCGAGAAACTGGACGTGGGACAGAGCCGGGGAAGTCTGAGACCCCTAGACGCCCTCGCTTTAGGGGATGGCAGAACGGAAGGGGAGAATCGTGCTTGCAGTGTAGACGCGATTTTCAACTCCTTCTGCAACTCGGTCCCCATAGCAACCCCGTGGCGTAGGCGAAAGTCTGTAGATCTCCACTGCGTGGGGTCGCGAGTGTTGAGATTGCAGGGGGCATCTATGTGCATGCTTGTGTGCCTGTGCGTGTGTGCGCGCGTGTACCTGTGTGTACATGCATGTATGTTTACCGATATGTGCATCTGTGCCTGTGTGTGCTGTGTTTGTGGATCAGTGTTTCTGTGCGTACATGTTTGTATTTGTGTGGTGTGTATGCGTGGGTATGCGTGTGTGCACATGCACGTTTGTATACATACATGGGTATGTGTATGGGTGTTCGTCTGTGCGTACATGCACACGCGTGTTTTTTCTGAACCCCACCTCACTACCGAATGGAAGAGAGCTTTTTTCCTCTGATAGCCCATCCCTTCTTCCTTTGGTGTACGGGGTTTTGTTAAAGAAAAAATTCTGACATTTGAAAGGCTCTTTAGTCAGGCTACTTGCAATGGGAGAGTTGCGCCAGCAAAGACAGCTGGGGATGTATGGGGGAGTTGGAGTGGGGATCTGGGTGGGGTCAGTGGATGGAAAGTGATTAAGGGAAGGCTCCAAGGGTAGGGGCTTCTCCCTAAGCTGACCTAGCAGGCTTCTCCAGAAAGGCAGGTTGAAGGCCTAGCCGGCAACGGTCTGTCGGGGAGGAGGAGCTGATGAGATGTGGAGCTGGGGGTAGCCAGCAGCAGGCGGAAGTGGACGGGTAGGGTCCAGGCCCAGTGGAGAGGAGAGGCGGAGGGGCCTGCAGAGCATTGGTCAGGGAGGGTCTGTGTAGTTTCTGGGGAGGCATCTGTGTCTGTTGTTGACAAGGCTAAAAATGATGACTCTGGACTCTCTAACTGGACTGCAGTCCTAGCCCTCCTCTGTAAAGGGAGGCTGTACAGGACGGTTGCACACTGCCGGCGCCCAGATCATCGGGCTGCTCCCTCCAACTCTCTCCAGAGTCCCTCAAGCGGGAACCTGCCTCGTGTCTCCCAGGAGCCATGGAGGCTGTGGAACTCGCCAGAAAACTGCAGGAGGAAGCTACGTGCTCCATCTGTCTGGATTACTTCACAGACCCTGTGATGACCACCTGTGGCCACAACTTCTGCCGAGCCTGCATCCAGCTGAGCTGGGAAAAGGCGAGGGGCAAGAAGGGGAGGCGGAAGCGGAAGGGCTCCTTCCCCTGCCCCGAGTGCAGAGAGATGTCCCCGCAGAGGAACCTGCTGCCCAACCGGCTGCTGACCAAGGTGGCCGAGATGGCGCAGCAGCATCCTGGTCTGCAGAAGCAAGACCTGTGCCAGGAGCACCACGAGCCCCTCAAGCTTTTCTGCCAGAAGGACCAGAGCCCCATCTGTGTGGTGTGCAGGGAGTCCCGGGAGCACCGGCTGCACAGGGTGCTGCCCGCCGAGGAGGCAGTGCAGGGGTACAAGGTAGGCCACATCGGGGCCCAGGTCAAGGGGCCGGGGAGGAGGCATCCAGGGGGACAAGGTGACCCAGATCATGGGGGAGGGAGGAGGTGTCCAGGGACAAAGTGGCCCGAGTCAGGGGCTGGGGAGGAGGCATCCAGGGGACAAGGTGGCCTGTGGCTGGGTAGGGGTGTCCCTGGGGACAATGTGGGCCTACACTGTATGATGCAGGCATTGCAAAATCTTACCTCTCCTCTCAGAGTATTTTGGGTGGCTCTGAGAACCAAACTGATTTGAGACAGATAAGCAGAAGCAAAGCACTGAAATTCATTCCCTGTAAGCTTTCCATGACCCAGGAGTCGCTCCCAAGGAGCCAGAGGCCCATGGAAGCATGTTAGAGCCAAACATGTACCTGAGGAGGATGAGGGTTAGTTTAGCAGGGTCCCTTTGCACAGATTTCTCTGGTTTCGGCTTTCCCGCCCTTGGTAAGAACATGGCTTTCCTCCTGGCCTAGGGCAGTCCTCTCTGGCATGGTGGCTGTGCCTTCTGCTCTTAGGAAGGCCGAGGGTCACAGCAATTCTTACACCTGCCCTTTTTTAAGTGCCTTCAGCTCAAAATAATCCAAGGTGGCACATTCTGGGTGACGTATTTTGATCCCCTGCCCCTCCTGAGGAGGGTCTCTGGGGTGGGTGCAGTTTCAGCGAGCACAACTGGACTCTAGGCAGGAGGTAGGGGGATCGCTGATCCCAAATCCTGCGGTTTGTGTGTCCCACAGTTGAAGCTGGAGGAGGACATGGAGTACCTTCGGGAGCAGATCACCAGGACAGGGAATCTGCAGGCCAGGGAGGAGCAGAGCTTAGCCGAGTGGCAGGTGGGTGCCCAGGGCTGTCCAGTCCCTTTCCTGCTGCTGCTCCATCTTCCTGCATTTCCACGTCTGTGTCTGCCCGTGGGGATATGCTGCCGCAGTGGCAGGAAAAGAAGAAAGTTGCCTCTACCCTTCTAGGTTCTGTGGCTGGCCTCAGAATGAAACTGACTTAAGACAGATGAACAGCAGAGAAAAAGATAAAAAGGCAATTTTAAATTACAGATGCACACATAGGGTGGAGAGAAGGGGCCTCAAAAATCAGACTCAAAGAGGCAGCCAGAGGGTAGGGGCTCAGTACCACAAAGGAGGCAGCCAGAGGGCGGGGGCTCAGTACCACAAAGGAGGCAGCCAGAAGGTGGGGGCTCAATACCACAAAGGAGGCAGCCAGAGGGCAGGGGCGTAGGTCAGCACCACAAAGGAATAGGGCTTGGGGGCCTCTGGGCTGGGGAGGCAGGTGATGTTGGTTAAGTATTTAAACAAGTGTCTCAGGTGAAGAGTTGTTTTTGGAACTCTCTTTCTGGTATAGATGCCTTGACCACTGGAAATTCCTTCATGAAAGGGCACTTTTTAATTTTTTTTTTTTTTTTTTTTGAGATGGAGTTTCACTCTTGTTGCCCAGGCTGGAATCCAATGGTGCGGTGTCAGTTCACTGCAACCTCTGCCTCCCGGGTTCAAGCAATTCTTCTGCCTCAGCCTCCCAAGCAGCTGGGACTATAGGTGCCCACCACCATGCCCGACTAACTTTTGTACTTTTAGTAGAGATGGGGTTTCACCATGTTGGTCAGGCTGGTCTTGAACTCCTGACCTCAGGTGATCTGCCTGCCTCGGCCTCCCAAAGTGCTGGGATTACAGGCATAAGTCATCGCGCCAGGCCAGGCACTTTATTTTTTTAGGCAGCTAATGGGGGAGGCAAACAGGTTTTCCTGCTTCTGCGGGTTCTCAATGGCCTTTAGTTAACCTTAATCCTAATGCCTGTCAAAACACAAAATTAAAACAGATTTAGAGATCTTTGTTGTTATTTTTTGTTTTTTTCTTGAGTCAGAGTCGCTCTGTGGCCCAGGCTGGAGCACAGTGATGCAATCATAGCTCACTGCAGCCTCAAATTCCTGGACTCAAGTGATCCTCCTGCTTCAACCTCCTGAGTAGCTGGGACTACAGGCACTTGCCACCAAGACCAGCTTTTTTTTTTTTTTTTTTTTTTTTTTTTGTAGAGACAAGGTCTTGCTATTGCCCAGGCTGGCCTTGAACTCCTGAGCTCAAACTATCTTCCCGCCTCAGCCTCCCAAAGCACTGGGATTACAGGCGTTAGCCACTGCACCCAGCTAAGAGAAAAGATTTATTTGCAAGGCCACTGAGTGAAGAGGAGGGAGAACAGCTCTTAAACCTGCCTCCCAAGTGATACAGCTTGGGAGTCTTTATGAACTACGGAGGCAGGGTGGTCCAGCAGGCCCATTCTGTGCAGGTGTCGTCGGGGTGCATGGCATTTCACAGGACACAGGTACCAGAAACGGCAGCCTTAGCATGATCTGAGGTTGGAAGTTTTGGCCCTCTCACATCAAAAGGCCACCTCGGGCACTGGGACAGGTCCACTTGAAGGGCAGATGGTCTCAACTGGTTTCAGCTGGACAGGAGCTGCCCCACATTCCTGAAGCGACCAGTCCCATGGTGACCTGTGAATATTATCTATAAAGAGCCAGTGAAGGGTGGGCGTCAGCATTCAGAGGCACAGCCTTCAGCTTCATGGAAAAAGGAAAAACAAAATAACAAAAAGCAATCAGGGCAGGCTGACCTGATCAGTGAACCCCTTGGTTTCATTAGCACCAGTGACTCCATTCTGGTTGGGTCTGGTCTTCTAGGACCCAGCGCAGGAGCCCAGTTCAAAACAGTGGCCCCTGAGGATCACCTGAGCCCAGGAGTCTGAGACAGCAGTGAACCATGATCATGCCACTGAACCCCAGCCTGGGCAACATAGCAAGACCCTGTCTCTACAAAAAAATTAAAAATTAGCTGGGCATGGTGGTGGTGACACATGTCTGTCGTCCCACTTCCTTGGAAGGCTGAGGTGGGAGGGTCACTTGAGGCCAGGAGGTCAAAGTTGCAGTGAGTTGTGGTTGTGCCATTGCACTCCAGCCTGGGCAACAGAGCAAGACCCTGTCCCTACACAAAATTTAAAAACTAGCTGGATGTGGTGGTGCATGCCTGTGGTCCCAGCTACTCAGATGACTTGAGCCCAGGAGGTCAAGGTTGCAATAAGTGCCACTGCATTCCAGCCTGGGCAACTGAGCGAGACCCTGTCTCAAACAAAACAAAACAAAAAACAATGGCCACCCATAAATTTTGTTTAACATGCCCAAGAGGCTTATCTGGGGGTGGACATTCTGAACCTCCTCAGAGCAAGGGTGCATGGGTGTTTGGATGTGTAGAAGTTGCAGTTCGGGGCTCGGAGGGTTACACTCAGTGTATCACAGGATGGCAGAGGTGGGGGCCTCTGTCACAGTTCCTGGTCCCCAACTAAAGCTCCAGTTGCTGGTGATCTTGTGGGTCACCAGGGCCCTGGGGAGAGGTGCCAGCATCCCTGGAGCTGAGCCACCTGCTGGCAACATGCTGGGCTTCTCCACTCCTGCAGGGCAAGGTGAAGGAGCGGAGAGAACGCATTGTGCTGGAGTTTGAGAAGATGAACCTCTACCTGGTGGAAGAAGAGCAGAGGCTCCTCCAGGCTCTGGAGACGGAAGAAGAGGAGACTGCCAGCAGGCTCCGGGAGAGCGTGGCCTGCCTGGACCGGCAGGGTCACTCTCTGGAGCTGCTGCTGCTGCAGCTGGAGGAGCGGAGCACACAGGGGCCCCTCCAGATGCTGCAGGTGAGCCAGTAGGCTTGGCAGGCAGGGTGGGATGTGAGCTCTGACAGGCATGGGCAGGGGGCGCTGGGCTTGGGGAAGAGGCAGCCAACGGGAAAGGGCTGTTAGCTCCCAGTCTGCTAGTCCTGGAGGCTGGGTGGCTGAGGCCAAGGTGCGGGCAGGCCTGGTTCCTCCTGAGCCTCTCTCCTAGGCCTGAAGATGCCGTCTCCTCCCCGCGTCCTCATGGCATCATCTCTCTATGCACGTCTCTGTCCTAATCATCTCCTTGTATAAAGACACCAGTCAGACTGGATTAGGGCCCACCCCAGTGACCTCAACTCCCTCCTTAAAGATGCTATCTCCAAACACAGTCACATTCTGAGGTCCTGAGGGTTCAGGCTTCAACCTGTGAATTAGTGGGGACACAAGTCAGCCCCTTACAGGTTCCAACCTGAGACAGTGTCCCCATTTCCTTCCAAGTCCAGAGAGGTGGCTTGGGACACCTGGCAGCCAGGTGTGGCTTTGGGACAGGGACTCCATGTCTCGGTGTGGAGGAGGTGCACTGTCCCAGGAGTGAGTTGTGTGGCAACGGCAGTGGGGAGGTGAAGCAGCCAGCCTGTCTGCCGGGACCAGCCTGTGTGCCATGGCCCTGGAGAGGGGGCTTGATTACGGCTGATAAGACGCCATCTCTACAAAAACTTAAAAATATTAGCAGGGCATGGTGGCGTGCGCCTGTGGTCCCAGGACTCAGGAGGCTGAGGCAGGAAGACTGCTTGAGCCCGTGAGTTCAAGGCTGTAGTGAGCTATTGCGCCACTGCACTCCACCCTGGGTGATGGTGAGATCACATCTAGGAAAAAAAAAAAAAAGGAAAAGGAAAAACAAAGCAGCCTGTTCACAACCCACTACATTGGTTTGCTGACCAACTGAGGGAAAAGCCCCTGCAGCTGGTAGAAGGGTGCTCCTATGAGCAGAGGGCCAAGCGCGCCACCTGCATGAGAGTCCCTGCCTAGAGTTAGGGTCACGCTCTGGCAACTAGAAATATGGCCTTTGGAAAACAAGTCCCTTGTAGCTTCCAGGCCAGAGAAGTAAACAGTGATCTCTTTAGGGAACTCTGAATCCCTAAAGAGGCTACAGAAAATCCCCAGGTGCCTCAGTCTCTTACCCACCCCCCTCCCTCCCCAAACTGCACCCAATTGCGCCCCCACCCCATTCCTGCTGAGTGGGCTGCACCCACCTGAAATGGGAGAGGAGGGTCAGTGTTGAGTGGCCACTTGCCTGGAAGGGGTCCCTCCGCCTCTCCTGAGTTGCAGGACCTCAGGCGTGTGGCCGTGGGCTGACAGGGTAGCTCAGCTTAGGTGAGGCACTGGGGGCTCTGGTGGTAGTGGGAGCTAGGGCAGTGGGGAAGGCTCAGGAGTGCCATGAAGCTCAATTGTGGGAAGGGAATGCCCAGGGGACAGGATGGGTCTTGCCCTAAGACACGGACAAGAAGGGAGCAGGGACATTGAGGTGAGCCAGGAGCTTGGCTCACTCCCCACCCTCCGTCCCTGTCTTTTGCAGGACATGAAGGAACCCCTGAGCAGGTATGTGGTCCCCTCAGGCAGGGGCGGGGGCAGTGGCAGCGGTGGGCGGGGGGGACAATAAGACTGTCGGGCCAGGGGAGTCAATAAGACTCCCCTGTGTGTGCCCACCGGAGGAAGAACAACGTGAGTGTGCAGTGCCCAGAGGTTGCCCCCCCAACCAGACCCAGGACTGTGTGCAGAGTTCCCGGACAGATTGAAGTGCTAAGAGGCTTTCTAGGTAAGTGGGCACCCAGGGCCAGGACCTCTGACCCAGGATCTCTTGGCGATGCCCCACTGTACCCCCTAGCCTCGGAAGCCACCAATGGGGGGGGTTCTACAAGTGCACTGCCTGGTGACGGTCACTGGCTATTCACTGTGCCTTCGTAGGGCGGCGTTACTGGTGGTTCTAATTCATGGGATGAATCTTGTTGAGTTCCCAGTGGTCTCTCTGCCCAGCCCCCTGTACCTTATTGCCACCAAGGCCCACACACAATTGGTGTGTGGAAGCATCAAGTAACCCCAGATTCACAGCAGGGGAGGCCTCTGCGGAGTTAGGGGACCATTGGCCACATCCACCACTAGGGCCCGGGGACTCCCACCTTTGACCC